>NC_000018.10:18674376-18843894 GCF_000001405.40 Homo sapiens | reverse complement strand
TTTACCTGAAGACAATCCCGTTTCCCACGAAATCCTCAAAGCTATGCAAATATCCTCTTGCAGATTCTACAAAAAGAGTGTTTCGAAACTGCTCTATGAAAAGAAAGGTTCAACTGTGTCAGTAGAGGGCACACATCACAAACAAGTTTCTGAGAATGCTTCTGCCTAGTTGTTATGGGAAGATATTTCCTTTTTCAACATAGGCCTGAAAGCGCTCCAAATGTCGACTTCCAGATACTACAAAAGGAGTGATTCCAGCCTTCTCTATGATAGGGAATGTTCAACTCTGTGTCCTGAATACAAACATCACAAAGACGTTTCTCAGAACGCTGCAGTCTGCAATTTGTATGAATTCCCGCTTCCAACGAAATCCTCAAAACTAGCCAAATATCCACTTGCAGATTCCACAAAAAGACCATTTCAAAACTGCTCTATCAAAAGAAAGGTTCAACTTTGTTAGTTGAGTAGATACAGCATAACCAAGTTTCTGAGAATGCTTCTGTCCAGTTTTTATGGGAAGATATTTCCTTTTTCACCTTAGCCCTGAAATCGCTCCAAAAGTCCAGTTCCAGATACTACAAAAGGGGTGTTTCAAGACTGCTCTATGAAAGGGAGTGTTCAACTTTTGACTTGAATGCAAACATCAGAAAGCTGTTTCTCAGAACGCTGCTGTGTGCTTTTTATATGTATTCCCGCTTCCAGCGAAATCCCCAAAGCTAGCCAAATATCCACTTGCAGATTCCAGAAAAAGAGAGTTTCAAAACTGCTCCTTCAAAACGGTGGTTCAATTCTCTTAGTTGAGTACACACATCTCAAATAAGTTTTCTGAGAATGCTTATGTGTCTAGTTGTTATGGGAAGATATTTCCTTTTTCAACATAGGCCTGAAAGCGCTCCAAATGTCCACTTCCAGATACTACAAAAGGAGTGATTCCAACCTGCTCTATGATAGGGAATGTTCATCTCTGTGTCCTGAATACAAACATCACAAAGATGTTTCTCAGAACGCTGCAGTCTGCAATTTGTATGAATTCCCGCTTCCAACGAAATCCTCAAAACTAGCCAAATATCCACTTGGAGATTCCACAAAAAGAGCGTTTCAAAACTTCTCTTTGAATAGAAATGTTCTACTCCTTTAGTTGAGGACACACATCACGAGTAAGTTTCTGAGAATGCTTCTGTCTAGTTTTTATGGGAAGATATTTCCTTTTTCACCTTAGGCCGGAAAGCGCTCCAAATGTCCACTTACACACACTACAAAAAGAGTGTTTCAAACCTGCTCTGTGAAAGGGAATGTTCAATTCTGTGACTTGAATGCAATCATCACAAAGAACTTTCTGAGAATGCTGCTGTCTGCTTTTTATATGTAATCCCGTTTCCAACGAAATCCTCAAATCTAGCCCAATATCCACTTGCAGATTCCACAAAAAGAGTGTTTCAAAACTGTTCTGTCTAAAGAAATGTACAACTGTGTTAGTTGAGGACACACATCAGAAACCAGTTTCTGAGAATGCTTCTGTCTAGTTGTTATGGGAAGATATTTCCTTTTCCAACGTAGGCCTGAAAGCGCTCCAAATGTCCACTTCCATATGCTAAAAAAAGAGTGTTTCAAACCTGCTCTACCAAAGGGAATGTTCTACTCTGTGACTTGAATGCAAACATCCCAAAGAAGTTTCTGAGAATGCTTCTGTCTAGATTTTATCTGAAGACAATCCCGTTTCCAACGAAATCCTCAAGGCTAGGCAAATATACTCTTGCAGATTCCAGAAAAAGAGGGTTTCAAAACTGCTCCTTCAAAACGGTGGTTCAATTCTCTTAGTTGAGTACACACATCTCAAAAAAGTTTCTGAGAATGCTTCTGCCTAGTTGTTACGGGAAGATATTTCCCTTTCCAACATGGGCCTGAAAGCGCTCCAAATGTCCACTTCCAGATACTACAAAAAGAGTGTTTCAAACCTGCTCTACCAAAGGGAATGTTCTACTCTGTGACTTGAATGCAAACATCCCAAAGAAGTTTCTGAGAATGCTTCTGTCTAGATTTTACCTGAAGACAATCCCGTTTCCCACGAAATCCTCAAAGCTATGCAAATATCCTCTTGCAGATTCTACAAAAAGAGTGTTTCAAAACTGCTCTATGAAAAGAAAGGTTCAACTCTGTCAGTGGAGGGCACACATCACAAACAAGTTTCTGAGAACGCTTGTGTCTAGTTGTTATGGGAAGATATTTCCTTTTTCAACATAGGCCTGAAAGCGCTCCAAATGTCCACTTCCAGATACTACAAAAGGAGTGATTCCAACCTGCTCTATGATAGGGAATGTTCATCTCTGTGTCCTGAATACAAACATCACAAATATGTTTCTCAGAACGCTGCAGTCTGCAATTTGTATGAATTCCCGCTTCGAACGAAATCCTCAAAACTAGCCAAATATCCACTTGCAGATTCCACAAAAAGAGCATTTCAAAACTGCTCTATCAAAAGAAAGGTTCAACTTTGTTAGTTGAGTAGATACAGCATAAACAAGTTTCTGAGAATGCTTCTGTCCAGTTTTTATGGGAAGATATTTCCTTTTTCACCTTAGCCCTGAAATCGCTCCAAAAGTCCAGTTCCAGATACTACAAAAGGAGTGTTTCAGGACTGCACTATGAAAGGGAGTGTTCAACTTTTGACTTGAATGCAAACATCAGAAAGCAGTTTCTCAGAACGCTGCTGTGTGCTTTTTATATGTATTCCCGCTTCCAGCGAAATCCCCAAAGCTAGCCAAATATCCACTTGCAGATTCCAGAAAAAGAGTGTTTCAAAACTGCTCCTTCAAAACGGTGGTTCAATTCTCTTAGTTGAGTACACACATCTCAAATAAGTTTCTGAGAATGCTTCTGTCCAGTTTTTATGGGAAGATATTTCCTTTTTCACCTTAGCCCTGAAAGCGCTCCAAAAGTCCAGTTCCAGATACTACAAAAGGAGTGTTTCAGGACTGCTCTATGAAAGGGAGTGTTCAACTTTTGATTTGAATGCAAACATCAGAAAGCAGTTTCTCAGAACGCTGCAGTCTGCAATTTGTATGAATTCCCGCTTCCAACGAAATCCTCAAAACTAGCCAAATATCCACTTGCAGATTCCACAAAAAGAGCGTTTCAAAACTTCTCTATGAAAAGAAAGGTTCTACTCCTTTAGTTGAGGACACACATCACGAGTAAGTTTCTGAGAATGCTTCTGTCTAGTTTTTATGGGAAGATATTTCCTTTTTCACCTTAGGCCGGTAAGTGCTCCAAATGTCCACTTACACACACTACAAAAAGAGTGTTTCAAACCTGCTCTGTGAAAGGGAATGTTCAATTCTGTGACTTGAATGCAATCATCACAAAGAACTTTCTGAGAATGCTGCTGACTGCTTTTTATATGTAATCCCGTTTCCAACGAAATCCTCAAATCTAGCCAAATAGCCACTTGCAGATTCCACAAAAAGAGTGTTTCAAAACTGTTCTGTCTAAAGAAATGTTCAACTGTGTTAGTTGAGGACACACATCAGAAACTAGTTTCTGAGAATGCTTCTGTCTAGTTGTTATGGGAAGATATTTCCTTTTCCAACGTAGGCCTGAAAGCGCTCCAAATGTCCACTTCCAGATACTACAAAAAGAGTGTTTCAAACCTGCTCTACCAAAGGGAATGTTCTACTCTGTGACTTGAATGCAAACATCCCAAAGAAGTTTCTGAGAATGCTTCTGTCTAGATTTTACCTGAAGACAATCCCGTTTCCCACGAAATCCTCAAAGCTATGCAAATATCCTCTTGCAGATTCTACAAAAAGAGTGTTTCAAAACTGCTCTATGAAAAGAAAGGTTCAACTCTGTCAGTAGAGGGCACACATCACAAACAAGTTTCTGAGAATGCTTGTGTCTAGTTGTTATGGGAAGATATTTCCTTTTTCAACATAGGCCTGAAAGCGCTCCAAATGTCCACTTCCAGATACTACAAAAGGAGTGATTCCAACCTGCTCTATGATAGGGAATGTTCATCTCTGTGTCCTGAATACAAACATCACAAGGATGTTTCTCAGAACGCTGCAGTCTGCAATTTGTATGAATTCCCGCTTCCAACGAAATCCTCAAAACTAGCCAAATATCCACTTGCAGATTCCACAAAAAGACCATTTCAAAACTGCTCTATCAAAAGAAAGGTTCAACTTTGTTAGTTGAGTAGATACAGCATAACCAAGTTTCTGAGAATGCTTCTGTCCAGTTTTTATGGGAAGATATTTCCTTTTTCACCTTAGCCCTGAAATCGCTCCAAAAGTCCAGTTCCAGATACTACAAAAGGGGTGTTTCAAGACTGCTCTATGAAAGGGAGTGTTCAACTTTTGACTTGAATGCAAACATCAGAAAGCAGTTTCTCAGAACGCTGCTGTGTGCTTTTTATATGTATTCCCGCTTCCAGCGAAATCCCCAAAGCTAGCCAAATATCCACTTGCAGATTCCAGAAAAAGAGAGTTTCAAAACTGCTCCTTCAAAACGGTGGTTCAATTCTCTTAGTTGAGTACACACATCTCAAATAAGTTTCTGAGAATGCTTGTGTCTAGTTGTTATGGGAAGATATTTCCTTTTTCAACATAGGCCTGAAAGCGCTCCAAATGTCCACTTCCAGATACTACAAAAGGAGTGATTCCAACCTGCTCTATGATAGGGAATGTTCATCTCTGTGTCCTGAATACAAACATCACAAAGATGTTTCTCAGAACTCTGCAGTCTGCAATTTGTATGAATTCCCGCTTCCAACGAAATCCTCAAAACTAGCCAAATATCCACTTGCAGATTCCACAAAAAGAGCGTTTCAAAACTTCTCTATGAAAAGAAAGGTTCTACTCCTTTAGTTGAGGACACACATCACGAGTAAGTTTCTGAGAATGCTTCTGTCTAGTTTTTATGGGAAGATATTTCCATTTTCACCTTAGGCCGGAAAGCGCTCCAAATGTCCACTTACACACACTACAAAAAGAGTGTTTCAAACCTGCTCTGTGAAAGGGAATGTTCAATTCTGTGACTTGAATGCAATCATCACAAAGAACTTTCTGAGAATGCTGCTGTCTGCTTTTTATATGTAATCCCGTTTCCAACGAAATCCTCAAATCTAGCCAAATATCCACTTGCAGATTCCACAAAAAGAGTGTTTCAAAACTGTTCTGTCTAAAGAAAAGTTCAACTGTGTTAGTTGAGGACACACATCAGAAACTAGTTTCTGAGAATGCTTCTGTCTAGTTGTTATGGGAAGATATTTCCTTTTCCAACGTAGGCCTGAAAGCGCTCCAAATGTCCACTTCCATATACTAAAAAAAGAGTGTTTCAAACCTGCTCTACCAAAGGGAATGTTCTACTCTGTGACTTGAATGCAAACATCCCAAAGAAGTTTCTGAGAATGCTTCTGTCTAGATTTTACCTGAAGACAATCCCGTTTCCCACGAAATCCTCAAAGCTATGCAAATATCCTCTTGCAGATTCTACAAAAAGAGTGTTTCGAAACTGCTCTATGAAAAGAAAGGTTCAACTGTGTCAGTAGAGGGCACACATCACAAACAAGTTTCTGAGAATGCTGTGTCTAGTTGTTATGGGAAGATATTTCCTTTTTCAACATAGGCCTGAAAGCGCTCCAAATGTCCACTTCCAGATACTACAAAAGGAGTGATTCCAACCTGCTCTATGATAGGGAATGTTCATCTCTGTGTCTTGAATACAAACATCACAAAGATGTTTCTCAGAACGCTGGCAGTCTGCAATTTGTATGAATTCCCGCTTCCAACGAAATCCTCAAAACTAGCCAAATATCCACTTGCAGATTCCACAAAAAAAGCATTTCAAAACTGCTCTATCAAAAGAAAGGTTCAACTTTGTTAGTTGAGTAGATACAGCATAAACAAGTTTCTGAGAATGCTTCTGTCCAGTTTTTATGGGAAGATATTTCCTTTTTCACCTTAGCCCTGAAAGCGCTCCAAATGTCCAGTTCCAGATACTACAAAAGGAGTGTTTCAGGACTGCTCTATGAAAGGGAGTGTTCAACTTTTGACTTGAATGCAAACATCAGAAAGCAGTTTCTCAGAACGCTGCTGTGTGCTTTTTATATGTATTCCCGCTTCCAGCGAAATCCCCAAAGCTAGCCAAATATCCACTTGCAGATTCCAGAAAAAGAGTGTTTCAAAACTGCTCCTTCAAAACGGTGGTTCAATTCTCTTAGTTGAGTACACACATCTCAAATAAGTTTCTGAGAATGCTTCTGTCTAGTTGTTATGGGAAGATATTTCCTTTTCCAACATAGGCCTGAAAGCGCTCCAAATGTCCACTTCCAGATACTACAAAAGGAGTGATTCAAACCTGCTCTATGATAGGGAATGTTCAACTCTGTGTCCTGAATACAAACATCAGAAAGATGTTTCTCAGAACGCTGCAGTCTGCAATTTGTATGAATTCCCGCTTCCAACGAAATCCTCAAAACTAGCCAAATATCCACTTGCAGATTCCACAAAAAGAGCGTTTCAAAACTTCTCTATGAAAAGAAAGGTTCTACTCCTTTAGTTGAGGACACACATCACGAGTAAGTTTCTGAGAATGCTTCTGTCTAGTTTTTATGGGAAGATATTTCCTTTTTCACCTTAGGCCGGAAAGTGCTCCAAATGTCCACTTACACACACTACAAAAAGAGTGTTTCAAACCTGCTCTGTGAAAGGGAATGTTCAATTCTGTGACTTGAATGCAATCATCACAAAGAACTTTCTGAGAATGCTGCTGTCTGCTTTTTATATGTAATCCCGTTTCCAACGAAATCCTCAAATCTAGCCAAATAGCCACTTGCAGATTCCACAAAAAGAGTGTTTCAAAACTGTTCTGTCTAAAGAAATGTTCAACTGTGTTAGTTGAGGACACACATCAGAAACTAGTTTCTGAGAATGCTTCTGTCTAGTTGTTATGGGAAGATATTTCCTTTTCCAACGTAGGCCTGAAAGCGCTCCAAATGTACACTTCCATATACTAAAAAAAGAGTGTTTCAAACCTGCTCTACCAAAGGGAATGTTCTACTCTGTGACTTGAATGCAAACATCCCAAAGAAGTTTCTGAGAATGCTTCTGTCTAGATTTGATCTGAAGACAATCCCGTTTCCAACGAAATCCTCAAGGCTAGGCAAATATCCTCTTGCAGATTCCAGAAAAAGAGTGTTTCAAAACTGCTCCTTCAAAACGGTGGTTCAATTCTCTTAGTTGAGTACACACATCTCAAATAAGTTTCTGAGAATGCTTCTGCCTAGTTGTTACGGGAAGATATTTCCCTTTCCAACATAGGCCTGAAAGCGCTCCAAATGTCCACTTCCAGATACTACAAAAAGAGTGTTTCAAACCTGCTCTACCAAAGGGAGTGTTCTGCTCTGTGACTTGAATGCAAACATCACGAAGAAGTTTCTGAGAATGCTTCTGTCTAGATTTTACCTGAAGACAATCCCGTTTCCCACGAAATCCTCAAAGCTATGCAAATATCCTCTTGCAGATTCTACAAAAAGAGTGTTTCAAAACTGCTCTATGAAAAGAAAGGTTCAACTCTGTCAGTAGAGGGCACACATCACAAACAAGTTTCTGAGAATGCTTGTGTCTAGTTGTTATGGGAAGATATTTCCTTTTTCAACATAGGCCAGAAAGCGCTCCAAATGTCCACTTCCAGATACTACAAAAGGAGTGATTCCAACCTGCTCTATGATAGTGAATGTTCAACTCTCTGTCCTGAATACAAACATCACAAAGATGTTTCTCAGAACGCTGGCAGTGTGCAATTTGTATGAATTCCCGCTTCCAACGAAATCCTCAAAACTAGCCAAATATCCACTTGCAGATTCCACAAAAAGACCATTTCAAAACTGCTCTATCAAAAGAAAGGTTCAAATTTGTTAGTTGAGTAGATACAGCATAAACAAGTTTCTCAGAATGCTTCTGTCCAGTTTTTATGGGAAGATATTTCCTTTTTCACCTTAGCCCTGAAAGCGCCCGAAATGTCCAGTTCCAGATACTACAAAAGGAGTGTTTCAAGACTGCTCTATGAAAGGGAGTGTTCAACTTTTGACTTGAATGCAAACATCAGAAAGCAGTTTCTCAGAACGCTGCTGTGTGCTTTTTATATGTATTCCCGCTTCCAGCGAAATCCCCAAAGCTAGCCAAATATCCACTTGCAGATTCCAGAAAAAGAGTGTTTCAAAACTGCTCCTTCAAAACGGTGGTTCAATTCTCTTAGTTGAGTACACACATCTCAAATAAGTTTCTGAGAATGCTTCTGTCTAGTTGTTATGGGAAGATATTTCCTTTTCCAACATAGGCCTGAAAGCGCTCCAAATGTCCACTTCCAGATACTACAAAAGGAGTGATTCAAACCTGCTCTATGATAGGGAATGTTCAACTCTGTGTCCTGAATACAAACATCACAAAGATGTTTCTCAGAACGCTGCAGTCTGCAATTTGTATGAATTCCCGCTTCCAACGAAATCCTCAAAACTAGCCAAATATCCACTTGCAGATTCCACAAAAAGAGCGTTTCAAAACTTCTCTATGAAAACAAAGGTTCTACTCCTTTAGTTGAGGACACACATCACGAGTAAGTTTCTGAGAGTGCTTCTGTCTAGTTTTTATGGGAAGATATTTCCTTTTTCACCTTAGGCCGGAAAGTGCTCCAAATGTCCACTTACACACACTACAAAAAGAGTGTTTCAAACCTGCTCTGTGAAAGGGAATGTTCAATTCTGTGACTTGAATGCAATCATCACAAAGAACTTTCTGAGAATGCTGCTGTCTGCTTTTTATATGTAATCCCGTTTCCAACGAAATCCTCAAATCTAGCCAAATAGCCACTTGCAGATTCCACAAAAAGAGTGTTTCAAAACTGTTCTGTCTAAAGAAATGTTCAACTGTGTTAGTTGAGGACACACATCAGAAACTAGTTTCTGAGAATGCTTCTGTCTAGTTGTTATGGGAAGATATTTCCTTTTCCAACGTAGGCCTGAAAGCGCTCCAAATGTCCACTTCCATATACTTAAAAAAGAGTGTTTCAAACCTGCTCTACCAAAGGGAATGTTCTACTGTGTGACATGAATGCAAACATCCCAAAGAAGTTTCTGAGAATGCTTCTGTCTAGATTTGATCTGAAGACAATCCCGTTTCCAACGAAATCCTCAAGGCTAGGCAAATATCCTCTTGCAGATTCCAGAAAAAGAGTGTTTCAAAACTGCTCCTTCAAAACGGTGGTTCAATTCTCTTAGTTGAGTACACACATCTCAAATAAGTTTCTGAGAATGCTTCTGCCTAGTTGTTACGGGAAGATATTTCCCTTTCCAACATAGGCCTGAAAGCGCTCCAAATGTCCACTTCCAGATACTACAAAAAGAGTGTTTCAAACCTGCTCTACCAAAGGGAATGTTCTGCTCTGTGACTTGAATGCAAACATCCCAAAGAAGTTTCTGAGAATGCTTCTGTCTAGATTTTACCTGAAGACAATCCCGTTTCCCACGAAATCCTCAAAGCTATGCAAATATCCTCTTGCAGATTCTACAAAAAGAGTGTTTCAAAACTGCTCTATGAAAAGAAAGGTTCAACTCTGTCAGTAGAGGGCACACATCACAAACAAGTTTCTGAGAATGCTTGTGTCTAGTTGTTATGGGAAGATATTTCCTTTTTCAACATAGGCCTGAAAGCGCTCCAAATGTCCACTTCCAGATACTACAAAAGGAGTGATTCCAACCTGCTCTATGATAGGGAATGTTCAACTCTCTGTCCTGAATACAAACATCACAAAGATGTTTCTCAGAACGCTGCAGTCTGCAATTTGTATGAATTCCCGCTTCCAACGAAATCCTCAAAACTAGCCAAATATCCACTTGCAGATTCCACAAAAAGACCATTTCAAAACTGCTCTATCAAAAGAAAGGTTCAACTTTGTTAGTTGAGTAGATACAGCATAAACAAGTTTCTGAGAATGCTTCTGTCCAGTTTTTATGGGAAGATATTTCCTTTTTCACCTTAGCCCTGAAAGCGCTCCAAAAGTCCAGTTCCAGATACTACAAAAGGAGTGTTTCAGGACTGCTCTATGAAAGGGAGTGTTCAACTTTTGACTTGAATGCAAACATCAGAAAGCAGTTTCTCAGAACGCTGCTGTGTGCTTTTTATATGTATTCCCGCTTCCAGCGAAATCCCCAAAGCTAGCCAAATATCCACTTGCAGATTCCAGAAAAAGAGTGTTTCAAAACTGCTCCTTCAAAACGGTGGTTCAATTCTCTTAGTTGAGTACACACATCTCAAATAAGTTTGCTGAGAATGCTTCTGTCTAGTTGTTATGGGAAGATATTTCCTTTTCCAACATAGGCCGGAAAGCGCTCCAAATGTCCACTTCCAGATACTACAAAAGGAGTGATTCCAACCTGCTCTATGATAGGGAATGTTCAACTCTGTGTCCTGAATACAAACATCACAAAGATTTTTCTCAGAACGCTGCAGTCTGCAATTTGTATGAATTCCCGCTTCCAACGAAATCCTCAAAACTAGCCAAATATCCACTTGGAGATTCCACAAAAAGAGCGTTTCAAAACTTCTCTATGAATAGAAAGGTTCTACTCCTTTAGTTGAGGACACACATCACGAGTAAGTTTCTGAGAATGCTTCTGTCTAGTTTTTATGGGAAGATTATTTCCTTTTTCACCTTAGGCCGGTAAGTGCTCCAAATGTCCACTTACACACACTACAAAAAGAGTGTTTCAAACCTGCTCTGTGAAAGGGAATGTTCAATTACTGTGACTTGAATGCAATCATCACAAAGAACTTTCTGAGAATGCTGCTGACTGCTTTTTATATGTAATCCCGTTTCCAACGAAATCCTCAAATCTAGCCAAATAGCCACTTGCAGATTCCACAAAAAGAGTGTTTCAAAACTGTTCTGTCTAAAGAAATGTTCAACTGTGTTAGTTGAGGACACACATCAGAAACTAGTTTCTGAGAATGCTTCTGTCTAGTTGTTATGGGAAGATATTTCCTTTTCCAACATAGGCCTGAAAGCGCTCCAAATGTCCACTTCCAGATACTACAAAAAGAGTGTTTCAAACCTGCTCTACCAAAGGGAATGTTCTGCTCTGTGACTTGAATGCAAACATCCCAAAGAAGTTTCTGAGAATGCTTCTGTCTAGATTTTACCTGAAGACAATCCCGTTTCCCACGAAATCCTCAAAGCTATGCAAATATCCTCTTGCAGATTCTACAAAAAGAGTGTTTCAAAACTGCTCTATGAAAAGAAAGGTTCAACTCTGTCAGTAGAGGGCACACATCACAAACAAGTTTCTGAGAATGCTTGTGTCTAGTTGTTATGGGAAGATATTTCCTTTTTCAACATAGGCCTGAAATCGCTCCAAATGTCCACTTCCAGATACTACAAAAGAATAGTGATTCCAACCTGCTCTATGATAGGGAATGTTCAACTCTGATGTCCTGAATACAAACATCACAAAGATGTTTCTCAGAACGCTGCAGTCTGCAATTTGTATGAATTCCCGCTTCCAACGAAATCCTCAAAACTAGCCAAATATCCACTTGCAGATTCCACAAAAAGAGCGTTTCAAAACTTCTCTATGAAAAGAAAGGTTCTGCTCCTTTAGTTGAGGACACACATCACGAGTAAGTTTCTGAGAATGCTTCTGTCTAGTTTTTATGGGAAGATATTTCCTTTTTCACCTTAGGCCGGAAAGTGCTCCAAATGTCCACTTACACACACTACAAAAAGAGTGTTTCAAACCTGCTCTGTGAAAGGGAATGTTCAATTCTGTGACTTGAATGCAATCATCACAAAGAACTTTCTGAGAATGCTGCTGTCTGCTTTTTATATGTAATCCCGTTTCCAACGAAATCCTCAAATCTAGCCAAATATCCACTTGCAGATTCCAAAAAAAGAGTGTTTCAAAACTGTTCTGTCTAAAGAAATGTTCAACTGTGTTAGTTGAGGACACACATCAGAAACTAGTTTCTGAGAATGCTTCTGTCTAGTTGTTATGGGAAGATATTTCCTTTTCCAACGTAGGCCTGAAAGCGCTCCAAATGTCCACTTCCAGATACTACAAAAGGAGTGATTCCAACCTGCTCTATGATAGGGAATGTTCAACTCTGTGTCCTGAATACAAACATCACAAAGATGTTTCTCAGAACGCTGCAGTCTGCAATTTGTATGAATTCCCGCTTCCAACGAAATCCTCAAAACTAGCCAAATATCCACTTGCAGATTCCACAAAAAGAGCGTTTCAAAACTTATCTATGAAAAGAAAGGTTCTACTTCTTTAGTTGAGGACACACATCACGAGTAAGTTTCTGAGAATGCTTCTGTCTAGTTTTTATGGGAAGATATTTCCTTTTTCACCTTAGGCCGGAAAGTGCTCCAAATGTCCACTTACACACACTATACAAAGAGTGTTTCAAACCTGCTCTGTGAAAGGGAATGTTCAATACTGTGACTTGAATGCAATCATCACAAAGAAGTTTCTGAGAATGCTGCTGTCTGCTTTTTATATGTAATCCCGTTTCCAACGAAATCCTCAAATCTAGCCAAATAGCCACTTGCAGATACCACAAAAAGAGTGTTTCAAAACTGTTCTGTCTAAAGAAATGTTCAACTGTGTTAGTTGAGGACACACATCAGAAACTAGTTTCTGAGAATGCTTCTGTCTAGTTGTTATGGGAAGATATTTCCTTTTCCAACGTAGGCCTGAAAGCGCTCCAAATGTCCACTTCCATATACTAAAAAAAGAGTGTTTCAAACCTGCTCTACCAAAGGGAATGTTCTACTCTGTGACTTGAATGCAAACATCCCAAAGAAGTTTCTGAGAATGCTTCTGTCTAGATTTTACCTGAAGACAATCCCGTTTCCCACGAAATCCTCAAAGCTATGCAAATATCCTCTTGCAGATTCTACAAAAAGAGTGTTTCAAAACTGCTCTATGAAAAGAAAGGTTCAACTCTGTCAGTAGAGGGCACACATCACAAACAAGTTTCTGAGAATGCTGTGTCTAGTTGTTATGGGAAGATATTTCCTTTTTCAACATAGGCCTGAAAGCGCTCCAAATGTCCACTTCCAGATACTACAAAAGGAGTGATTCCAACCTGCTCTATGATAGGGAATGTTCATCTGCTGTGTCCTGAATACAAACATCACAAAGATGTTTCTCAGAACGCTGGCAGTCTGCAATTTGTATGAATTCCCGCTTCCAACGAAATCCTCAAAACTAGCCAAATATCCACTTGCAGATTCCACAAAAAGAGCATTTCAAAACTGCTCTATCAAAAGAAAGGTTCAACTTTGTTAGTTGAGTAGATACAGCATAAACAAGTTTAGGAGAATGCTTCTGTCCAGTTTTTATGGGAAGATATTTTCTTTTTCACCTTAGCCCTGAAAGCGATCCAAAAGTCCAGTTCCAGATACTGCAAAAGGAGTGTTTCAGGACTGCTCTATGAAAGGGAGTGTTCAACTTTTGACTTGAATGCAAACATCAGAAAGCAGTTTCTCAGAACGCTGCTGTGTGCTTTTTATATGTATTCCCGCTTCCAGCGAAATCCCCAAAGCTAGCCAAATATCCACTTGCAGATTCCAGAAAAAGAGTGTTTCAAAACTGCTCCTTCAAAACGGTGGTTCAATTCTCTTAGTTGAGTACACACATCTCAAATAAGTTTCTGAGAATGCTTCTGTCTAGTTGTTATGGGAAGATATTTCCTTTTCCAACATAGGCCTGAAAGCGCTCCAAATGTCCACTTCCAGATACTACAAAAGGAGTGATTCAAACCTGCTCTATGATAGGGAATGTTCAACTCTGTGTCCTGAATACAAACATCACAAAGATGTTTCTCAGAACGCTGCAGTCTGCAATTTGTATGAATTCCCGCTTCCAACGAAATCCTCCAAACTAGCCAAATATCCACTTGCAGATTCCACAAAAAGAGCGTTTCAAAACTTCTCTATGAAAAGAAAGGTTCTACTCCTTTAGTTGAGGACACACATCACGAGTAAGTTTCTGAGAGTGCTTCTGTCTAGTTTTTATGGGAAGATATTTCCTTTTTCACCTTAGGCCGGAAAGTGCTCCAAATGTCCACTTACACACACTACAAAAAGAGTGTTTCAAACCTGCTCTGTGAAAGGGAATGTTCAATTCTGTGACTTGAATGCAATCATCACAAAGAACTTTCTGAGAATGCTGCTGTCTGCTTTTTATATGTAATCCCGTTTCCAACGAAATCCTCAAATCTAGCCAAATAGCCCCTTGCAGATTCCACAAAAAGAGTGTTTCAAAACTGTTCTGTCTAAAGAAATGTTCAACTGTGTTAGTTGAGGACACACATCAGAAACTAGTTTCTGAGAATGCTTCTGTCTAGTTGTTATGGGAAGATATTTCCTTTTCCAACGTAGGCCTGAAAGCGCTCCAAATGTCCACTTCCATATACTAAAAAAAGAGTGTTTCAAACCTGCTCTACCAAAGGGAATGTTCTACTCTGTGACTTGAATGCAAACATCCCAAAGAAGTTTCTGAGAATGCTTCTGTCTAGATTTTCTCTGAAGACAATCCCGTTTCCAACGAAATCCTCAAGGCTAGGCAAATATACTCTTGCAGATTCCAGAAAAAGAGTGTTTCAAAACTGCTCCTTCAAAACGGTGGTTCAATTCTCTTAGTTGAGTACACACATCTCAAATAAGTTTCTGAGAATGCTTCTGCCTAGTTGTTACGGGAAGATATTTCCCTTTCCAACATGGGCCTGAAAGCGCTCCAAATGTCCACTTCCAGATACTACAAAAAGAGGGTTTCAAACCTGCTCTACCAAAGGGAATGTTCTACTCTGTGACTTGAATGCAAACATCCCAAAGAAGTTTCTGAGAATGCTTCTGTCTAGATTTTACCTGAAGACAATCCCGTTTCCCACGAAATCCTCAAAGCTATGCAAATATCCTCTTGCAGATTCTACAAAAAGAGTGTTTCAAAACTGCTCTATGAAAAGAAAGGTTCAACTCTGTCAGTAGAGGGCACACATCACAAACAAGTTTCTGAGAATGCTTCTGTCTATTTGTTATGGGAAGATATTTCCTTTTCCAACATAGGCCTGAAAGGGCTCCAAATGGACACTTCCAGATACTACAAAAGGAGTGATTCAAACCTGCTCTATGATAGGGAATGTTCAACTCTGTGTCCTGAATACAAACATCACAAAGATGTTTCTCAGAACGCTGCAGTCTGCAATTTGTATGAATTCCCGCTTCCAACGAAATCCTCAAAACTAGCCAAATATCCACTTGCAGATTCCACAAAAAGAGCATTTCAAAACTGCTCTATCAAAAGAAAGGTTCAACTTTGTTAGTTGAGCAGATACAGCATAAACAAGTTTCTGAGAATGCTTCTGTCCAGTTTTTATGGGAAGATATTTCCTTTTTCACCTTAGCCCTGAAAGCGCTCCAAAAGTCCAGTTCCAGATACTACAAAAGGAGTGTTTCAGGACTGCTCTATGAAAGGGAGTGTTCAAATTTTGACTTGAATGCAAACATCAGAAAGCAGTTTCTCAGAACGCTGCTGTGTGCTTTTTATATGTATTCCCGCCTCCAGCGAAATCCCCAAAGCTAGCCAAATATCCACTTGCAGATTCCAGAAAAAGAGTGTTTCAAAACTGCTCCTTCAAAACGGTGGTTCAATTCTCTTAGTTGAGTACACACATCTCAAATAAGTTTCTGAGAATGCTTTCTGTCTAGTTGTTATGGGAAGATATTTCCTTTTCCAACATAGGCCTGAAAGCGCTCCAAATGTCCACTTCCAGATACTACAAAAGGAGTGATTCCAACCTGCTCTATGATAGGGAATGTTCAACTCTGTGTCCTGAATACAAACATCACAAAGATGTTTCTCAGAACGCTGCAGTCTGCAATTTGTATGAATTCCCGCTTCCAACGAAATCCTCAAAACTAGCCAAATATCCACTTGCAGATTCCACAAAAAGAGCGTTTCAAAACTTCTCTATGAAAACAAAGGTTCTACTCCTTTAGTTGAGGACACACATCACGAGTAAGTTTCTGAGAATGCTTCTGTCTAGATTTTACCTGAAGACAATCCCGTTTCCCACGAAATCCTCAAAGCTATGCAAATATCCTCTTGCAGATTCTACAAAAAGAGTGTTTCAAAACTGCTCTATGAAAAGAAAGGTTCAACTCTGTCAGTAGAGGGCACACATCACAAACAAGTTTCTGAGAATGCTTCTGCATAGTTGTTACGGGAAGATATTTCCCTTTCCAAAATAGGCCTGAAAGCGCTCCAAATGTCCACTTCCAGATACTACAAAAGGAGTGATTCCAACCTGCTCTATGATAGGGAATGTTCAACTCTGTGTCCTGAATACAAACATCACAAAGATGTTTCTCAGAACGCTGCAGTCTGCAATTTGTATGAATTCCCGCTTCCAACGAAATCCTCAAAACTAGCCAAATATCCACTTGCAGATTCCACAAAAAGACCATTTCAAAACTGCTCTATCAAAAGAAAGGTTCAACTTTGTTAGTTGAGTAGATACAGCATAAACAAGTTTCTGAGAATGCTTCTGTCCAGTTTTTATGGGAAGATATTTCCTTTTTCACCTTAGCCCTGAAATCGCTCCAAAAGTCCAGTTCCAGATACTACAAAAGGGGTGTTTCAAGACTGCTCTATGAAAGGGAGTGTTCAACTTTTGACTTGAATGCAAACATCAGAAAGCAGTTTCTCAGAACGCTGCTGTGTGCTTTTTATATGTATTCCCGCTTCCAGCGAAATCCCCAAAGCTAGCCAAATATCCACTTGCAGATTCCAGAAAAAGAGAGTTTCAAAACTGCTCCTTCAAAACGGTGGTTCAATTCTCTTAGTTGAGTACACACATCTCAAATAAGTTTCTGAGAATGCTTGTGTCTAGTTGTTATGGGAAGATATTTCCTTTTTCAACATAGGCCTGAAAGCGCTCCAAATGTCCACTTCCAGATACTACAAAAGGAGTGATTCCAACCTGCTCTATGATAGGGAATGTTCATCTCTGTGTCTTGAATACAAACATCACAAAGATGTTTCTCATAACGCTGCAGTCTGCAATTTGTATGAATTCCCGCTTCCAACGAAATCCTCAAAACTAGCCAAATATCCACTTGGAGATTCCACAAAAAGAGCGTTTGAAAACTTCTCTATGAATAGAAAGGTTCTACTCCTTTAGTTGAGGACACACATCACGAGTAAGTTTCTGAGAATGCTTCTGTCTAGTTTTTATGGGAAGATATTTCCTTTTTCACCTTAGGCCGGAAAGCGCTCCAAATGTCCACTTACACACACTACAAAAAGAGTGTTTCAAACCTGCTCTGTGAAAGGGAATGTTCAATTCTGTGACTTGAATGCAATCATCACAAAGAACTTTCTGAGAATGCTGCTGTCTGCTTTTTATATGTAATCCCGTTTCCAACGAAATCCTCAAATCTACCCCAATATCCACTTGCAGATACCACAAAAAGAGTGTTTCAAAACTGTTCTGTGTAAAGAAATGTACAACTGTTTTAGTTGAGGACACACATCAGAAACTAGTTTCTGAGAATGCTTCTGTCTAGTTGTTATGGGAAGATATTTCCTTTTCCAACGTAGGCCTGAAAGCGCTCCAAATGTCCACTTCCAGATACTACAAAAAGAGTGTTTCAAACCTGCTCTACCAAAGGGAATGTTCTACTCTGTGACTTGAATGCAAACATCCCAAAGAAGTTTCTGAGAATGCTTCTGTCTAGATTTTCTCTGAAGACAATCCCGTTTCCAACGAAATCCTCAAGGCTAGGCAAATATCCTCTTGCAGATTCCAGAAAAAGAGTGTTTCAAAACTGCTCCTTCAAAACGGTGGTTCAATTCTCTTAGTTGAGTACACACATCTCAAATAAGTTTCTGAGAATGCTTCTGCCTAGTTGTTACGGGAAGATATTTCCCTTTCCAACATGGGCCTGAAAGCGCTCCAAATGTCCACTTCCAGATACTACAAAAAGAGTGTTTCAAACCTACTCTACCAAAGGGAATGTTCTACTCTGTGACTTGAATGCAAACATCCCAAAGAAGTTTCTGAGAATGCTTCTGTCTAGATTTTACCTGAAGACAATCCCGTTTCCCACGAAATCCTCAAAGCTATGCAAATATCCTCTTGCAGATTCTACAAAAAGAGTGTTTCAAAACTGCTCTATGAAAAGAAAGGTTCAACTCTGTCAGTAGAGGGCACACATCACAAACAAGTTTCTGAGAATGCTTGTGTCTAGTTGTTATGGGAAGATATTTCCTTTTTCAACATAGGCCTGAAAGCGCTCCAAATGTCCACTTCCAGATACTACAAAAGGAGTGATTCCAACATGCTCTATGATAGGGAATGTTCATCTCTGTGTCCTGAATACAAACATCACAAAGATGTTTCTCAGAACGCTGCAGTCTGCAATTTGTATGAATTCCCGCTTCCAACGGAATCCTCAAAACTAGCCAAATATCCACTTGCAGATTCCACAAAAAGAGCATTTCAAAACTGATCTATGAAAAGAAAGGTTCAACTTTGTTAGTTGAGTAGATACAGCATAAACAAGTTTCTGAGAATGCTTCTGTCTAGTTTTTGTGGGAAGATATTTCCTTTTTCACCTTAGCCCTGAAAGCGCCCCAAATGTCCACTTCCAGATAGTACAAAAGGGGTGTTTCAAGCCTGCTCTATGAAAGGGAGTGTTCAACTTTTGACTTGAATGCAAGCAGCAGAAAGCCGTTTCTCAGAACGCTGCTGTGTGCTTTTTATATGTATTCCCTCTTCCAGCGAAATCCGCAAAGCTAGCCAAATATCCTCTTGCAGATTCCAGAAAAAGAGTGTTTCAAATCTGCTCCTTCAAAACGGTGGTTCAATTCTCTTAGTTGAGTACACACATCTCAAATAAGTTTCTGAGAATGCTTCTGTCTAGCTGTTATGGGAGTATATTTCCTTTTCCAACATAGGCCTGAAAGCGCTCCAAGCGTCCACATCCAGATACGACAAAAGGAGTGATTCCAACCTGCTCTATGATAGGGAATGTTCAACTCTGTGTCCTGAATACAAACATCACAAAGATGTTTCTCAGAACGCTGCAGTCTGCAATTTGTATGAATTCTCGATTCCAACGAAATCCTCAAAACTAGCCAAATATCCACTTGCAGATTCCACAAAAAGAGCGTTTCAAAACTTCTCTATGAAAAGAAAGATTCTACTCCTTTAGTTGAGGACACACATCAAGAGTACGTTTCTGAGAATGCTTCTGTCTAGTTTTTATGGGAAGATATTTCCTTTTTCACCTGAGGCCGGAAAGCGCTCCAAATGTCCACTTACAGACACTACAAAAGAGTGTTTCAAACCTGCTCTGTGAAAGTGAATGTTCAATTCTGTGACTTGAATGCAATCACCACAAAGAAGTTTCTGAGAATGCTGCTGTCTGCTTTTTATATGTAATCCCGTGTCCAACGAAATCCTCAAATCTAGCCAAATATCCACTTGCAGATTCCTCAAAAAGAGTGTTTCAAAACTGTTCTGTCAAAAGAAAGGTTCAACTCTGTTAGTTGAGGACACACATCAGAAACTAGTTTCTGAGAAGGCTTCTGTCTAGTTGTTATGGGAAGATATTTCCTTTTCCAACGTAGGCCTGAAAGCGCTCCAAATGTCCACTTCCAGATACTACAAAAAGAGTGTTTCAAACCTGCTCTACCAAAGGGAATGTTCTACTCTGTGACTTGAATGCAAGCATCCCAAAGAAGTTTCTGAGAATGCTTCTGTCTAGATTGGATCTGAAGACAATCCCGTTGCCAACGAAATCCTCAAATCTATGCAAATATCCTCTTGCAGATTCCAGAAAAAGAGTGTTTCAAAACTGCTCCTTCAAAACGGTGGTTCAATTCTCTTAGTTGAGTACACACATCTCAAATAAGTTTCTGAGAATGCTTCTGCCTAGTTGTTACGGGAAGATATTTCCCTTTCCAACATAGGCCTGAAAGCGCTCCAAATGTCCACTTCCAGATACTACAAAAAGAGTGTTTCAAACCTGCTCCTTCAAAACGGTGGTTCAATTCTCTTAGTTCAGTACACACATCTCAAATAAGTTTCTGAGAATGCTTCTGCCTAGTTGTTACGGGAAGATATTTCCCTTTCCAACATAGGCCTGAAAGCGCTCCAAATGTCCACTTCCAGATACTACAAAAAGAGTGTTTCAAACCTGCTCTACCAAAGGGAATGTTCTACTCTGTGACTTGAATGCAAACATCCCGAAGAATTTTCTGAGAATGCTTCTGTCTAGATTTTACCTGAAGACAATCCCGTTTCCCACGAAATCCTCAAAGCTATGCAAATATCCTCTTGCAGATTCTACAAAAAGAGTGTTTCAAAACTGCTCTATGAAAAGAAAGGTTCAACTCTGTCAGTAGAGGGCACACATCACAAACAAGTTTCTGAGAATGCTTCTGCATAGTTGTTATGGGAAGATATTTCCCTTTCCAAAATAGGCCTGAAAGCGCTCCAAATGTCCACTTCCAGATACTACAAAAGGAGTGATTCCAACCTGCTCTATGATAGGGAATGTTCAACTCTGTGTCCTGAATACAAACATCACAAAGATGTTTCTCAGAACGCTGCAGTGTGCAATTTGTATGAATTCCCGCTTCCAACGAAATCCTCAAAACTAGCCAAATATCCACTTGCAGATTCCACAAAAAGACCATTTCAAAACTGCTCTATCAAAAGAAAGGTTCAAATTTGTTAGTTGAGTAGATACAGCATAAACAAGTTTCTCAGAATGCTTCTGTCCAGTTTTTATGGGAAGATATTTCCTTTTTCACCTTAGCCCTGAAAGCGCCCGAAATGTCCAGTTCCAGATACTACAAAAGGAGTGTTTCAAGACTGCTCTATGAAAGGGAGTGTTCAAATTTGACTTGAATGCAAACATCAGAAAGCAGTTTCTCAGAACGCTGCTGTGTGCTTTTTATATGTATTCCCGCTTCCAGCGAAATCCCCAAAGCTAGCCAAATATCCACTTGCAGATGCCAGAAAAAGAGTGTTTCAAAACTGCACCTTCAAAACGGTGGTTCAATTCTCTTAGTTGAGTACACACATCTCAAATAAGTTTCCGAGAATGCTTCTGTCTAGTTGTTATGGGAAGATATTTCCTTTTCCAACATAGGCCTGAAAGCGCTCCAAATGTCCACTTCCAGTTACTACAAAAGGAGTGATTCAAACCTGCTCTATGATAGGGAATGTTCAACTCTGTGTCCTGAATACAAACATCACAAAGATGTTTCTCAGAACGCTGCAGTCTGCAATTTGTATGAATTCCCGCTTCCAACGAAATCCTCCAAACTAGCCAAATATCCACTTGCAGATTCCACAAAAAGAGCGTTTCAAAACTTCTCTATGAAAACAAAGGTTCTACTCCTTTAGTTGAGGACACACATCACGAGTAAGTTTCTGAGAATGCTTCTGTCTAGTTTTTATGGGAAGATATTTCCTTTTTCACCTTAGGCCGGAAAGTGCTCCAAATGTCCACTTACACACACTATAAAAAGAGTGTTTCAAACCTGCTCTGTGAAAGGGAATGTTCAATTCTGTGACTTGAATGCAATCATCACAAAGAACTTTCTGAGAATGCTGCTGTCTGCTTTTTATATGTAATCCCGTTTCCAACGAAATCCTCAAATCAAGCCAAATAGCCACTTGCAGATTCCACAAAAAGAGAGTTTTAAAACTGTTCTGTCTAAAGAAATGTTCAACTGTGTTAGTTGAGGACACACATCAGAAACTAGTTTCTGAGAATGCTTCTGTCTAGTTGTTATGGGAAGATATTTCCTTTTCCAACGTAGGCCTGAAAGCGCTCCAAATGTCCACTTCCATATACTAAAAAAAGAGTGTTTCAAACCTGCTCTACCAAAGGGAATGTTCTACTCCGTGACTTGAATGCAAACATCCCAAAGAAGTTTCTGAGAATGCTTCTGTCTAGATTTGATCTGAAGACAATCCCGTTTCCAACGAAATCCTCAAGGCTAGGCAAATATCCTCTTGCAGATTCCAGAAAAAGAGTGTTTCAAAACTGCTCCTTCAAAACGGTGGTTCAATTCTCTTAGTTGAGTACACACATCTCAAATAAGTTTCTGAGAATGCTTCTGCCTAGTTGTTACGGGAAGATATTTCCCTTTCCAACATGGGCCTGAAAGCGCTCCAAATGTCCACTTCCAGATACTACAAAAAGAGTGTTTCAAACCTACTCTACCAAAGGGAATGTTCTACTCTGTGACTTGAATGCAAACATCCCAAAGAAGTCTCTGAGAATGCTTCTGTCTAGATTTTACCTGAAGACAATCCCGTTTCCCACGAAATCCTCAAAGCTATGCAAATATCCTCTTGCGGATTCTACAAAAAGAGTGTTTCAAAACTGCTCTATGAAAAGAAAGGTTCAACTCTGTCAGTAGAGGGCACACATCACAAACAAGTTTCTGAGAATGCTTGTGTCTAGTTGTTATGGGAAGATATTTCCTTTTTCAACATAGGCCTGAAAGCGCTCCAAATGTCCACTTCCAGATACTACAAAAGGAGTGATTCCAACCTGCTCTATGATAGGGAATGTTCATGTCTGTGTCCTGAATACAAACATCACAAAGATGTTTCTCAGAACGCTGCAGTCTGCAATTTGGATGAATTCCCGCTTCCTACGAAATCCTCAACACTAGCCAAATATCCACTTGGAGATTCCACAAAAAGAGCGTTTCAAAACTTCTCTATGAATAGAAAGGTTCTACTCCTTTAGTTGAGGACACACATCACGAGTAAGTTTCTCAGAATGCTTCTGTCTAGTTTTTATGGGAAGATATGTCCTTTTTCACCTTAGGCCGGAAAGCGCTCCAAATGTCCACTTACACACACTACAAAAAGAGTGTTTCAAACCTGCTCTGTGAAAGGGAATGTTCAATTCTGTGACTTGAATGCAATCATCACAAAGAACTTTCTGAGAATGCTGCTGACTGCTTTTTATATGTAATCCCGTTTCCAACGAAATCCTCAAATCTAGCCCAATATCCACTTGCAGATTCCACAAAAAGAGTGTTTCAAAACTATTCTGTCTAAAGAAATGTACAACTGTGTTAGTTGAGGACACACATCAGAAACTAGTTTCTGAGAATGCTTCTGTCTAGTTGTTATGGGAAGATATTTCCTTTTCCAACGTAGGCCTGAAAGCGCTCCAAATGTCCACTTCCATATACTAAAAAAAGAGTGTTTCAAACCTGCTCTACCAAAGGGAATGTTCTACTCTGTGACTTGAATGCAAACATCCCAAAGAAGTTTCTGAGAATGCTTCTGTCTAGATTTGATCTGAAGACAATCCCGTTTCCAACGAAATCCTCAAGGCTAGGCAAATATCCTCTTGCAGATTCCAGAAAAAGAGTGTTTCAAAACTGCTCCTTCAAAACGGTGGTTCAATTCTCTTAGTTGAGTACACACATCTCAAATAAGTTTCTGAGAATACTTCTGCCTAGTTGTTACGGGAAGATATTTCCCTTTCCAACATAGGCCTGAAAGCGCTCCAAATGTCCACTTCCAGATACTACAAAAAGAGTGTTTCAAACCTGCTCTACCAAAGGGAATGTTCTACTCTGTGACTTGAATGCAAACATCCCAAAGAAGTTTCTGAGAATGCTTCTGTCTAGATTTTACCTGAAGACAATCCCGTTTCCCACGAAATCCTCAAAGCTATGCAAATATCCTCTTGCAGATTCTACAAAAAGAGTGTTTCAAACCTGCTCTACCAAAGGGAATGTTCTACTCTGTGACTTGAATGCAAACATCCCAAAGAAGTTTCTGAGAATGCTTCTGTCTAGATTTTACCTGAAGACAATCCCGTTTCCCACGAAATCCTCAAAGCTATGCAAATATCCTCTTGCGGATTCTACAAAAAGAGTGTTTCAAAACTGCTCTATGAAAAGAAAGGTTCAACTCTGTCAGTACAGGGTACACATCACAAACAAGTTTCTGAGAATGCTTGTGTCTAGTTGTTATGGGAAGATATTTCCTTTTTCAACATAGGCCTGAAAGCGCTCCAAATGTCCACTTCCAGATACTACAAAAGGAGTGATTCCAACCTGCTCTATGATAGGGAATGTTCATCTCTGTGTCCTGAATACAAACATCACAAAGATGTTTCTCATAACGCTGCAGTCTGCAATTTGTATGAATTCCCGCTTCCAACGAAATCCTCAAAACCAGCCAAATATCCACTTGGAGATTCCACAAAAAGAGCGTTTCAAAACTTCTCTATGAATAGAAAGGTTCTACTCCTTTAGTTGAGGGCACACATCACGAGTAAGTTTCTGAGAATGCTTCTGTCTAGTTTTTATGGGAAGATATTTCCTTTTTCACCTTAGGCCGGAAAGCGCTCCAAATGTCCACTTACACACACTACAAAAAGAGTGTCTCAAACCTGCTCTGTGAAAGGGAATGTTCAATTCTGTGACTTGAATGCAATCATCACAAAGAACTTTCTGAGAATGCTGCTGTCTGCTTTTTATATGTAATCCCGTTTCCAACGAAATCCTCAAATCTAGCCCAATATCCACTTGCAGATTCCACAAAAAGAGTGTTTCAAAACTGTTCTGTCTAAAGAAATGTACAACTGTGTTAGTTGAGGACACACATCAGAAACTAGTTTCTGAGAATGCTTCTGTCTAGTTGTTATGGGAAGATATTTCGTTTTCCAACGTAGGCCTGAAAGCGCTCCAAATGTCCACTTCCATATACTAAAAAAAGAGTGTTTCAAACCTGCTCTACCAAAGGGAATGTTCTACTCTGCGACTTGAATGCAAACATCCCAAAGAAGTTTCTGAGAATGCTTCTGTCTAGATTTTATCTGAAGACAATCCCGTTTCCAATGAAATCCTCAAGGCTAGGCAAATATACTCTTGCAGATTCCAGAAAAAGAGGGTTTTAAAACTGCTCCTTCAAAACGGTGGTTCAATTCTCTTAGTTGAGTACACACATCTCAAATAAGTTTCTGAGAATGCTTCTGCCTAGTTGTTACGGGAAGATATTTCCCTTTCCAACATGGGCCTGAAAGCGCTCCAAATGTCCACTTCCAGATACTACAAAAAGAGTGTTTCAAACCTGCTCTACCAAAGGGAATGTTCTACTCTGTGACTTGAATGCAAACATCCCAAAGAAGTTTCTGAGAATGCTCTGTCTAGATTTTAGCTGAAGACAATCCCGTTTCCAACGAAATCCTCAAAGCTAGGCAAATATACTCTAGCAGATTCCAGAAAAAGAGTGTTTCAAAACTGCTCCTTCAAAACGGTGGTTCAATTCTCTTAGTTGAGTACACACATCTCAAATAAGTTTCTGAGAATGCTTCTGTCTAGTTGTTATGGGAAGAATATTTCCTTTTCCAACGTAGGCCTGAAAGCGCTCCAAATGTCCACTTCCAGATACTACAAAAAGAGTGTTTCAAACCTGCTCTACCAAAGGGAATGTTCTACTCTGTGACTTGAATGCAAGCATCCCAAAGAAGTTTCTGAGAATGCTTCTGTCTAGATTTTACCTGAAGACAATCCCGTTTCCCACGAAATCCTCAAAGCTATGCAAATATCCTCTTGCAGATTCTACAAAAAGAGTGTTTCAAAACTGCTCTATGAAAAGAAAGGTTCAACTCTGTCAGTAGAGGGCACACATCAGAAACAAGTTTCTGAGAATGCTTCTGCATAGTTGTTACGGGAAGATATTTCCCTTTCCAAAATAGGCCTGAAAGCGCTCCAAATGTCCACTTCCAGATACTACAAAAGGAGTGATTCCAACCTGCTCTATGATAGGGAATGTTCAACTCTGTGTCCTGAATACAAACATCACAAAGATGTTTCTCAGAACGCTGCAGTCTGCAATTTGTATGAATTCCCGCTTCCAACGAAATCCTCAAAACTAGCCAAATATCCACTTGGAGATTCCACAAAAAGAGCGTTTCAAAACTTCTCTATGAATAGAAAGGTTCTACTCCTTTAGTTGAGGACACACATCACGAGTAAGTTTCTGAGAATGCTTCTGTCTAGTTTTTATGGGAAGATATTTCCTTTTTCACCTTAGGCCGGAAAGCGCTCCAAATGTCCACTTACACACACTACAAAAAGAGTGTTTCAAACCTGCTCTGTGAAAGGGAATGTTCAATTCTGTGACTTGAATGCAGTCATCACAAAGAACTTTCTGAGAATGCTGCTGTCTGCTTTTTATATGTAATCCCGTTTCCAACGAAATCCTCAAATCTAGCCAAATATCCACTTGCAGATTCCACAAAAAGAGTGTTTCAAAACTGTTCTGTCTAAAGAAAAGTTCAACTGTGTTAGTTGAGGACACACATCAGAAACTAGTTTCTGAGAATGCTTCTGTCTAGTTGTTATGTGAAGATATTTCCTTTTCCAACGTAGGCCTGAAAGCGGTCCAAATGTCCACTTCCATATACTAAAAAAAGAGTGTTTCAAACCTGCTCTACCAAAGGGAATGTTCTACTCTGTGACTTGAATGCAAACATCCCAAAGAAGTTTCTGAGAATGCTTCCGTCTAGATTTTATCTGAAGACAATCCCGTTTCCAACGAAATCCTCAAGGCTAGGCAAATATCCTCTTGCAGATTCCAGAAAAAGAGTGTTTCAAAACTGCTCCTTCAAAACGGTGGTTCAATTCTCTTAATTGAGTACACACATCTCAAATAAGTTTCTGAGAATGCTTCTGCCTAGTTGTTACGGGAAGATATTTCCCTTTCCAACATGGGCCTGAAAGCGCTCCAAATGTCCACTTCCAGATACTACAAAAAGAGTGTTTCAAACCTGCTCTACCAAAGGGAATGTTCTACTCTGTGACTTGAATGCAAACATCCCAAAGAAGTTTCTGAGAATGCTTCTGTCTAGATTTTACCTGAAGACAATCCCGTTTCCCACGAAATCCTCAAAGCTATGCAAATATCCTCTTGCGGATTCTACAAAAAGAGTGTTTCAAAACTGCTCTATGAAAAGAAAGGTTCAACTCTGTCAGTAGAGGGCACACATCACAAACAACTTTCTGAGAATGCTTGTGTCTAGTTGTTATGGGAAGATATTTCCTTTTTCAACATAGGCCTGAAAGCGCTCCAAATGTCCACTTCCAGATACTACAAAAGGAGTGATTCCAACCTGCTCTGTGATAGGGAATGTTCATCTCTGTGTTCTGAATACAAACATCACAAACATGTTTCTCAGAACGCTGCAGTCTGCAATTTGTATGAATTCCCGCTTCCAACGAAATCCTCCAAACTAGCCAAATATCCACTTGCAGATTCCACAAAAAGAGCGTTTCAAAACTTCTCTATGAAAAGAAAGGTTCTACTCCTTTAGTTGAGGACACACATCACGAGTAAGTTTCTGAGAATGCTTCTGTCTAGTTTTTATGGGAAGATTATTTCCTTTTTCACCTTAGGCCGGTAAGTGCTCCAAATGTCCACTTACACACACTACAAAAAGAGTGTTTCAAACCTGCTCTGTGAAAGGGAATGTTCAATTCTGTGACTTGAATGCAATCATCACAAAGAACTTTCTGAGAATGCTGCTGTCTGCTTTTTATATGTAATCCCGTTTCCAACGAAATCCTCAAATCTAGCCAAATATCCACTTGCAGATTCCACAAAGAGAGTGTTTCAAAACTGTTCTGTCTAAAGAAATGTTCAACTGTGTTAGTTGAGGACACACATCAGAAACTAGTTTCTGAGAATGCTTCTGTCTGGTTGTTATGGGAAGATATTTCCTTTTCCAACGTAGGCCTGAAAGCGCTCCAAATGTCCACTTCCATATACTAAAAAAAGAGTGTTTCAAACCTGCTCTACCAAAGGGAATGTTCTACTCTGTGACTTGAATGCAAACATCCCAAAGAAGTTTCTGAGAATGCTTCTGTCTAGATTGGATCTGAAGACAATCCCGTTGCCAACGAAATCCTCAAATCTATGCAAATATCCTCTTGCAGATTCCAGAAAAAGAGTGTTTCAAAACTGCTCCTTCAAAACGGTGGTTCAATTCTCTTAGTTGAGTACACACATCTCAAATAAGTTTCTGAGAATGCTTCTGCCTAGTTGTTACGGGAAGATATTTCCCTTTCCAACATAGGCCTGAAAGCGCTCCAAATGTCCACTTCCAGATACTACAAAAAGAGTGTTTCAAACCTGCTCCTTCAAAACGGTGGTTCAATTCTCTTAGTTCAGTACACACATCTCAAATAAGTTTCTGAGAATGCTTCTGCCTAGTTGTTACGGGAAGATATTTCCCTTTCCAACATAGGCCTGAAAGCGCTCCAAATGTCCACTTCCAGATACTACAAAAAGAGTGTTTCAAACCTGCTCTACCAAAGGGAATGTTCTACTCTGTGACTTGAATGCAAACATCCCGAAGAATTTTCTGAGAATGCTTCTGTCTAGATTTTACCTGAAGACAATCCCGTTTCCCACGAAATCCTCGAAGCTATGCAAATATCCTCTTGCAGATTCTACAAAAAGAGTGTTTCGAAACTGCTCTATGAAAAGAAAGGTTCAACTCTGTCAGTAGAGGGCACACATCACAAACAAGTTTCTGAGAATGCTTGTGTCTAGTTGTTATGGGAAGATATTTCCTTTTTCAACATAGGCCTGAAAACGCTCCAAATGTCCACTTCCAGATACTACAAAAAGAGTGATTCCAACCTGCTCTATGATAGGGAATGTTCATCTCTGTGTCCTGAATACAAACATCACAAAGATGTTTCTCAGAACGCTGCAGTCTGCAATTTGTATGAATTCCCGCTTCCAACGAAATCCTCAAAACTAGCCAAATATCCACTTGCAGATTCCACAAAAAGACCATTTCAAAACTGCTCTATCAAAAGAAAGGTTCAACTTTGTTAGTTGAGTAGATACAGCATAAACAAGTTTCTGAGAATGCTTCTGTCCAGTTTTTATGGGAAGATATTTCCTTTTTCACCTTAGCCCTGAAATCGCTCCAAAAGTCCAGTTCCAGATACTACAAAAGGGGTGTTTCAGGACTGCTCTATGAAAGGGAGTGTTCAACTTTTGACTTGAATGCAAACATCAGAAAGCAGTTTCTCAGAACGCTGCTGTGTGCTTTTTATATGTATTCCCGCTTCCAGCGAAATCCCCAAAGCTAGCCAAATATCCACTTGCAGATTCCAGAAAAAGAGAGTTTCAAAACTGCTCCTTCAAAACGGTGGTTCAATTCTCTTAGTTGAGTACACACATCTCAAATAAGTTTCTGAGAATGCTTGTGTCTAGTTGTTATGGGAAGATATTTCCTTTTTCAACATAGGCCTGAAAGCGCTCCAAATGTCCACTTCCAGATACTACAAAAGGAGTGATTCCAACCTGCTCTATGATAGGGAATGTTCAACTCTGTGTCCTGAATACAAACATCACAAAGATGTTTCTCAGAACGCTGCAGTCTGCAATTTTTATGAATTCCCGCTTCCAACGAAATCCTCAAAACTAGCCAAATATCCACTTGCAGATTCCACAAAAAGAGCATTTCAAAACTGCTCTATCAAAAGAAAGGTTCAACTTTGTTAGTTGAGTAGATACAGCATAAACAAGTTTCTGAGAATGCTTCTGTCCAGTTTTTATGGGAAGATATTTCCTTTTTCACCTTAGCCCTGAAAGCGCTCCAAAAGTCCAGTTCCAGATACTACAAAAGGAGTGTTTCAGGACTGCTCTATGAAAGGGAGTGTTCAACTTTTGACTTGAATGCAAACATCAGAAAGCAGTTTCTCAGAACGCTGCAGTTCTGCAATTTGTATGAATTCCCGCTTCCAACGAAATCCTCAAAACTAGCCAAATATCCACTTGCAGATTCCACAAAAAGAGCGTTTCAAAACTTCTCTATGAAAAGAAAGGTTCTACTCCTTTAGTTGAGGACACACATCACGAGTAAGTTTCTGAGAATGCTTCTGTCTAGTTTTTATGGGAAGATATTTCCTTTTTCACCTTAGGCCGGTAAGTGCTCCAAATGTCCACTTACACACACTACAAAAAGAGTGTTTCAAACCTGCTCTGTGAAAGGGAATGTTCAATTCTGTGACTTGAATGCAATCATCACAAAGAACTTTCTGAGAATGCTGCTGTCTGCTTTTTATATGTAATCCCGTTTCCAACGAAATCCTCAAATCTAGCCAAATAGCCACTTGCAGATTCCACAAAAAGAGTGTTTCAAAACTGTTCTGTCTAATGAAATGTTCAACTGTGTTAGTTGAGGACACACATCAGAAACTAGTTTCTGAGAATGCTTCTGTCTAGTTGTTATGGGAAGATATTTCCTTTTCCAACGTAGGCCTGAAAGCGCTCCAAATGTCCACTTCCATATACTAAAAAAAGAGTGTTTCAAACCTGCTCTACCAAAGGGAATGTTCTACTCTGTGACTTGAATGCAAACATCCCAAAGAAGTTTCTGAGAATGCTTCTGTCTAGATTTGATCTGAAGACAATCCCGTTTCCAACGAAATCCTCAAGGCTAGGCAAATATCCTCTTGCAGATTCCAGAAAAAGAGTGTTTCAAAACTGCTCCTTCAAAACGGTGGTTCAATTCTCTTAGTTGAGTACACACATCTCAAATAAGTTTCTGAGAATGCTTCTGCCTAGTTGTTACGGGAAGATATTTCCCTTTCCAACATAGGCCTGAAAGCGCTCCAAATGTCCACTTCCAGATACTACAAAAAGAGTGTTTCAAACCTGCTCTACCAAAGGGAATGTTCTACTCTGTGACTTGAATGCAAACATCCCAAAGAAGTTTCTGAGAATGCTTCTGTCTAGATTTTACCTGAAGACAATCCCGTTTCAAACGAAATCCTCAAAGCTATGCAAATATCCTCTTGCAGATTCTACAAAAAGAGTGTTTCAAAACTGCTCTATGAAAAGAAAGGTTCAACTCTGTCAGTAGAGGGCACACATCACAAACAAGTTTCTGAGAATGCTTGTGTCTACTTGTTATGGGAAGATATTTCCTTTTTCAACATAGGCCTGAAAGCGCTCGAAATGGCCACTTCCAGATACTACAAAAGGAGTGATTCCAACCTGCTCTATGATAGGGAATGTTCAACTCTGTGTCCTGAATACAAACATCACAAAGATGTTACTCAGAACGCTGCAGTCTGCAATTTGTATGAATTCCCGCTTCCAACGAAATCCTCCAAACTAGCCAAATATCCACTTGCAGATTCCACAAAAAGAGCATTTCAAAACTGCTCTATCAAAAGAAAGGTTCAACTTTGTTAGTTGAGTAGATACAGCATAAACAAGTTTCTGAGAATGCTTCTGTCCAGTTTTTATGGGAAGATATTTCCTTTTTCACCTTAGCCCTGAAAGCGCTCCAAATGTCCAGTTCCCGATACTACAAAAGGGGTGTTTCAAGACTGCTCTATGAAAGGGAGTGTTCAACTTTTGACTTGAATGCAAACATCAGAAAGCAGTTTCTCAGAACGCTGCTGTGTGCTTTTTATATGTATTCCCGCTTCCAGCGAAATCCCCAAAGCTAGCCAAATATCCACTTGCAGATTCCAGAAAAAGAGTGTTTCAAAACTGCTCCTTCAAAACGGTGGTTCAATTCTCTTAGTTGAGTACACACATCTCAAATAAGTTTCTGAGAATGCTTCTGTCTAGTTGTTATGGGAAGATATTTCCTTTTCCAACATAGGCCTGAAAGCGCTCCAAATGTCCACTTCCGGATACTACAAAAGGAGTGATTCCAACCTGCTCTATGATAGGGAATGTTCAACTCTGTGTCCTGAATACAAACATCACAAAGATGTTTCTCAGAACGCTGCAGTCTGCAATTTGTATGAATTCCCGCTTCCAACGAAATCCTCAAAACTAGCCAAATATCCACTTGCAGATTCCACAAAAAGAGCGTTTCAAAACTTCTCTATGAAAACAAAGGTTCTACTCCTTTAGTTGAGGACACACATCACGAGTAAGTTTCTGAGAATGCTTCTGTCTAGTTTTTATGGGAAGATATTTCCTTTTTCACCTTAGGCCGGAAAGTGCTCCAAATGTCCACTTACACACACTACAAAAAGAGTGTTTCAAACCTGCTCTGTGAAAGGGAATGTTCAATTCTGTGACTTGAATGCAATCATCACAAAGAACTTTCTGAGAATGCTGCTGTCTGCTTTTTATATGTAATCCCGTTTCCAACGAAATCCTCAAATCTAGCCAAATAGCCACTTGCAGATTCCACAAAAAGAGAGTTTCAAAACTGTTCTGTCTAAAGAAATGTTCAACTGTGTTAGTTGAGGACACACATCAGAAACTAGTTTCTGAGAATGCTTCTGTCTAGTTGTTATGGGAAGATATTTCCTTTTCCAACGTAGGCCTGAAAGCGCTCCAAATGTCCACTTCCATATACTAAAAAAAGAGTGTTTCAAACCTGCTCTACCAAAGGGAATGTTCTACTCTGTGACTTGAATGCAAACATCCCAAAGAAGTTTCTGAGAATGCTTCTGTCTAGATTTGATCTGAAGACAATCCCGTTTCCAACGAAATCCTCAAGGCTAGGCAAATATCCTCTTGCAGATTCCAGAAAAAGAGTGTTTCAAAACTGCTCCTTCAAAACGGTGGTTCAATTCTCTTAGTTGAGTACACACATCTCAAATAAGTTTCTGAGAATGCTTCTGCCTAGTTGTTACGGGAAGATATTTCCCTTTCCAGCATGGGCCTGAAAGCGCTCCAAATGTCCACTTCCAGATACTACAAAAAGAGTGTTTCAAACCTGCTCTACCAAAGGGAATGTTCTACTCTGTGACTTGAATGCAAACATCCCAAAGAAGTTTCTGAGAATGCTTCTGTCTAGATTTTACCTGAAGACAATCCCGTTTCCCACGAAATCCTCAAAGCTATGCAAATATCCTCTTGCAGATTCTACAAAAAGAGTGTTTCAAAACTGCTCTATGAAAAGAAAGGTTCAACTCTGTCAGTAGAGGGCACACATCACAAACAAGTTTCTGAGAATGCTTCTGTCTAGTTGTTATGGGAAGATATTTCCTTTTTCAACATAGGCCTGAAAGCGCTCCAAATGTCCACTTCCAGATACTACAAAAGGAGTGATTCCAACCTGCTCTATGATAGGGAATGTTCAACTCTGTGTCCTGAATACAAACATCACAAAGATGTTTCTCAGAACGCTGCAGTCTGCAATTTGTATGAATTCCCGCTTCCAACGAAATCCTCCAAACTAGCCAAATATCCACTTGCAGAGTCCACAAAAAGAGCGTTTCAAAACTTCTCTATGAAAAGAAAGGTTCTACTCCTTTAGTTGAGGACACACATCACGAGTAAGTTTCTGAGAATGCTTCTGTCTAGTTTTTATGGGAAGATATTTCCTTGTTCACCTTAGGCCGGAAAGCGCTCCAAATGTCCACTTACACACACTACAAAAAGAGTGTTTCAAACCTGCTCTGTGAAAGGGAATGTTCAATTCTGTGACTTGAATGCAATCATCACAAAGAAGTTTCTGAGAATGCTGCTGTCTGCTTTTTATATGTAATCCCGTTTCCAACGAAATCCTCAAATCTAGCCAAATATCCACTTGCAGATTCCACAAAAAGAGTGTTTCAAAACTATTCTGTCTAAAGAAAAGTTCAACAGTGTTAGTTGAGGACACACATCAGAAACTAGTTTCTGAGAATGCTTCTGTCTAGTTGTTATGGGAAGATATTTCCTTTTCCAACGTAGGCCTGAAAGCGCTCCAAATGTCCACTTCCATATACTAAAAAAAGAGTGTTTCATACCTGCTCTACCAAAGGAATGTTCTACTCTGTGACTTGAATGCAAACATCCCAAAGAAGTTTCTGAGAATGCTTCTGTCTAGATTTGATCTGAAGACAATCCCTTTTCCAACGAAATCCTCAAAGCTAGGCAAATATCCTCTTGCAGATTCCAGAAAAAGAGTGTTTCCAAACTGCTCCTTCAAAACGGTGGTTCAATTCTCTTAGTTGAGTACACACATCTCAAATAAGTTTCTGAGAATGCTTCTGCCTAGTTGTTACGGGAAGATATTTCCCTTTCCAACATAGGCCTGAAAGCGCAACAAATGTCCACTTCCAGATACGACAAAAAGAGTGTTTCAAACCTGCTCTACCAAAGGGAATGTTCTACTCTGTGACTTGAATGCAAACACCCCGAAGAAGTTTCTGAGAATGCTTCTGTCTAGATTTTACCTGAAGACAATCCCGTTTCCCACGAAATCCTCAGAGCTATGCAAATATCCTCTTGCAGATTCTACAAAAAGAGTGTTTCGAAACTGCTCTATGAAAAGAAAGGTTCAACTCTGTCAGTAGAGGAAACACATCACCAACAAGTTTCTGAGAATGCTTCTGTCTAGTTGTTATGGGAAGATTTTTCCTTTTTCAACATAGGCCTGAAAGCGCTCCAAATGTCCACTTCCAGATACTACAAAAGGAGTGATCCCAACCTGCTCTATGATAGGGAATGTTCAACTCTGTGTCCTGAGTACAAACATCACAAAGATGTTTCTCAGAACGCTGCAGTCTGCAATTTGTATGAATTCCCGCTTCCAACGAAATCCTCAAAACTAGCCAAATATCCACTTGCAGATTCCACAAAAAGACCATTTCAAAACTGCTCTATCAAAAGAAAGGTTCAACTTTGTTAGTTGAGTAGATACAGCATAAACAAGTTTCTGAGAATGCTTCTGTCCAGTTTTTATGGGAAGATATTTCCTTTTTCACCTTAGCCCTGAAATCGCTCCAAAAGTCCAGTTCCAGATACTACAAAAGGGGTGTTTCAAGACTGCTCTATGAAAGGGAGTGTTCAACTTTTGACTTGAATGCAAACATCAGAAAGCAGTTTCTCAGAACGCTGCTGTGTGCTTTTTATATGTATTCCCGCTTCCAGCGAAATCCCCAAAGCTAGCCAAATATCCACTTGCAGATTCCAGAAAAAGAGTGTTTCAAAACTGCTCCTTCAAAACGGTGGTTCAATTCTCTTAGTTGAGTACACACATCTCAAATAAGTTTCTGAGAATGCTTCTGTCTAGTTGTTATGGGAAGATATTTCCTTTTCCAACATAGGGCCTGAAAGCGCTCCAAATGTCCACTTCCAGATACTACAAAAGGAGTGATTCAAACCTGCTCTATGATAGGGAATGTTCAACTCTGTGTCCTGAATACAAACATCACAAAGATGTTTCTCAGAACGCTGCAGTCTGCAATTTGTATGAATTCCAGCTTCCAACGAAATCCTCAAAACTAGCCAAATATCCACTTGCAGATTCCACAAAAAGAGCATTTCAAAACTGCTCTATCAAAAGAAAGGTTCAACTTTGTTAGTAGAGTAGATACAGCGTAAACAAGTTTCTGAGAATGCTTCCTGTCCAGTTTTTATGGGAAGATATTTCCTTTTTCACCTTAGCCCTGAAAGCGCTCCAAATGTCCAGTTCCAGATACTACAAAAGGGGTGTTTCAAGACTGCTCTATGAAAGGGAGTGTTCAACTTTTGACTTGAATGCAAACATCAGAAAGCAGTTTCTCAGAACGCTGCTGTGTGCTTTTTATATGTATTTCCGCTTCCAGCGAAATCCCCAAAGCTAGCCAAATATCCACTTGCAGATTCCAGAAAAAGAGTGTTTCAAAACTGCTCCTTCAAAACGCTGGTTCAATTCTCTTAGTTGAGTACACACATCTCAAATAAGTTTCTGAGAATGCTTGTGTCTAGTTGTTATGGGAAGATATTTCCTTTTTCAACATAGGCCTGAAAGCGCTCCAAATGTCCACTTCCAGATACTACAAAAAGAGTGATTCCACCCTGCTCTATGATAGGGAATGTTCATCTCTGTGTCCTGAATACAAACATCACAAATATGTTTCTCAGAACGCTGCAGTCTGCAATTTGTATGAATTCCCGCTTCCAACGAAATCCTCAAAACTAGCGAAATATCCACTTGCAGATTCCACAAAAAGAGCATTTCAAAACTGCTCTATCAAAAGAAAGGTTCAACTTTGTTAGTTGAATAGATACAGCATAAACAAGTTTCTGAGAATGCTTCTGTCCAGTTTTTATGGGAAGATATTTCCTTTTTCACCTTAGCCCTGAAATCGCTCCAAAAGTCCAGTTCCAGATACTACAAAAGGGGTGTTTCAAGACTGCTCTATGAAAGGGAGTGTTCAACTTTTGACTTGAATGCAAACATCAGAAAGCAGTTTCTCAGAACGCTGCTGTGTGCTTTTTATATGTATTCCCGCTTCCAGCGAAATCCCCAAAGCTAGCCAAATATCCACTTGCAGATTCCAGAAAAAGAGAGTTTCCAAACTGCTCCTTCAAAACGGTGGTTCAATTCTCTTAGTTGAGTACACACATCTCAAATAAGTTTCTGGGAATGCTTCTGTCTAGTTGTTATGGGAAGATATTTCCTTTTCCAACATAGGCCTGAAAGCGCTCCAAATGTCCACTTCCAGATACTACAAAAGGAGTGATTCCAACCTGCTCTATGATAGGGAATGTTCAACTCTGTGTCCTGAATACAAACATCACAAAGATGTTTCTCAGAACGCTGCAGTCTGCAATTTGTATGAATTCCCGCTTCCAACGAAATCCTCAAAACTAGCCAAATATCCACTTGCAGATTCCACAAAAAGAGCGTTTCAAAACTTCTCTATGAAAAGAAAGGTTCTAATCCTTTAGTTGAGGACACACATCACGAGTAAGTTTCTGAGAATGCTTCTGTCTAGTTTTTATGGGAAGATATTTCCTTTTTCACCTTAGGCCGGTAAGTGCTCCAAATGTCCACTTACACACACTACAAAAAGAGTGTTTCAAACCTGCTCTGTGAAAGGGAATGTTCAATTCTGTGACTTGAATGCAATCATCACAAAGAACTTTCTGAGAATGCTGCTGACTGCTTTTTATATGTAATCCCGTTTCCAACGAAATCCTCAAATCTAGCCAAATAGCCACTTGCAGATTCCACAAAAAGAGTGTTTCAAAACTGTTCTGTCTAAAGAAATGTTCAACTTGTGTTAGTTGAGGACACACATCAGAAACTAGTTTCTGAGAATGCTTCTGTCTAGTTGTTATGGGAAGATATTTCCTTTTCCAACGTAGGCCTGAAAGCGCTCCAAATGTCCACTTCCATATACTAAAAAAAGAGTGTTTCAAACCTGCTCTACCAAAGGGAATGTTCTACTCTGTGACTTGAATGCAAACATCCCAAAGAAGTTTCTGAGAATGCTTCTGTCTAGATTTTCTCTGAAGACAATCCCGTTTCCAACGAAATCCTCAAGGCTAGGCAAATATACTCTTGCAGATTCCAGAAAAAGAGTGTTTCAAAACTGCTCCTTCAAAACGGTGGTTCAATTCTCTTAGTTGAGTACACACATCTCAAATAAGTTTCTGAGAATGCTTCTGCCTAGTTGTTACGGGAAGATATTTCCCTTTCCAACATGGGCCTGAAAGCGCTCCAAATGTCCACTTCCAGATACTACAAAAAGAGTGTTTCAAACCTGCTCTACCAAAGGGAATGTTCTACTCTGTGACTTGAATGCAAACATCCCAAAGAAGTTTCTGAGAATGCTTCTGTCTAGATTTTACCTGAAGACAATCCCGTTTCCCACGAAATCCTCAAAGCTATGCAAATATCCTCTTGCAGATTCTACAAAAAGAGTGTTTCAAAACTGCTCTATGAAAAGAAAGGTTAAACTCTGTCAGTAGAGGGCACACATCACAAACAAGTTTCTGAGAATGCTTCTGCATAGTTGTTACGGGAAGATATTTCCCTTTCCAAAATAGGCCTGAAAGCGCTCCAAATGTCCACTTCCAGATACTACAAAAGGAGTGATTCCAACCTGCTCTATGATAGGGAATGTTCAACTCTGTGTCCTGAATACAAACATCACAAAGATGTTTCTCAGAACGCTGCAGTCTGCAATTTGTATGAATTCCCGCTTCCAGCGAAATCCTCAAAACTAGCCAAATATCCACTTGCAGATTCCACAAAAAGAGCATTTCAAAACTGCTCTATCAAAAGAAAGGTTCAACTTTGTTAGTTGAGTAGATACAGCATAAACAAGTTTCTGAGAATGCTTCTGTCCAGTTTTTATGGGAAGATATTTCCTTTTTCACCTTAGCCCTGAAAGCGCTCCAAAAGTCCAGTTCCAGATACTACAAAAGGAGTGTTTCAGGACTGCTCTATGAAAGGGAGTGTTCAACTTTTGACTTGAATGCAAACATCAGAAAGCAGTTTCTCAGAACGCTGCTGTGTGCTTTTTATATGTATTCCCGCTTCCAGCGAAATCCCCAAAGCTAGCCAAATATCCACTTGCAGATTCCAGAAAAAGAGTGTTTCAAAACTGCTCCTTCAAAACGGTGGTTCAATTCTCTTAGTTGAGTACACACATCTCAAATAAGTTTGCTGAGAATGCTTGTGTCTAGTTGTTATGGGAAGATATTTCCTTTTTCAACATAGGCCTGAAAGCGCTCCAAATGTCCACTTCCAGATACTACAAAAGGAGTGATTCCAACCTGCTCTATGATAGGGAATGTTCATCTCTGTGTCCTGAATACAAACATCACAAAGATGTTTCTCAGAACGCTGCAGTCTGCAATTTGTGTGAATTCCCGCTTCCAATGAAATCCTCAAAACTAGCCAAATATCCACTTGGAGATTCCACAAAAAGAGCGTTTCAAAACTTCTCTATGAATAGAAAGGTTCTACTCCTTTAGTTGGGGACACACATCACGAGTAAGTTTCTGAGAATGCTTCTGTCTAGTTTTTATGGGAAGATATTTCCTTTTTCACCTTAGGCCGGAAAGCGCTCCAAATGTCCACTTACACACACTACAAAAAGAGTGTTTCAAACCTGCTCTGTGAAAGGGAATGTTCAATTCTGTGACTTGAATGCAATCATCACAAAGAACTTTCTGAGAATGCTGCTGTCTGCTTTTTATATGTAATCCCGTTTCCAACGAAATCCTCAAATCTAGCCAAATATCCACTTGCAGATTCCACAAAAAGAGTGTTTCAAAACTGTTCTGTCTAAAGAAAAGTTCAACTGTGTTAGTTGAGGACACACATCAGAAACTAGTTTCTGAGAATGCTTCTGTCTAGTTGTTATGGGAAGATATTTCCTTTTCCAACATAGGCCTGAAAGCGCTCCAAATGTCCACTTCCAGATACTACAAAAGGAGTGATTCCAACCTGCTCTATGATAGGGAATGTTCAACTCTGTGTCCTGAATACAAACATCACAAAGATGTTTCTCAGAACGCTGCAGTCTGCAATTTGTATGAATTCCCGCTTCCAACGAAATCCTCCAAACTAGCCAAATATCCACTTGCAGATTCCACAAAAAGAGCGTTTCAAAACTTCTCTATGAAAAGAAAGGTTCTACTCCTTTAGTTGAGGACACACATCACGAGTAAGTTTCTGAGAATGCTTCTGTCTAGTTTGTATGGGAAGATATTTCCTTTTTCACCTTAGGCCGGAAAGTGCTCCAAATGTCCACTTACACACACTACAAAAAGAGTGTTTCAAACCTGCTCTGTGAAAGGGAATGTTCAATTCTGTGACTTGAATGCAATCATCACAAAGAACTTTCTGAGAATGCTGCTGTCTGCTTTTTATATGTAATCCCGTTTCCAACGAAATCCTCAAATCTAGCCAAATAGCCACTTGCAGATTCCACAAAAAGAGAGTTTCAAAACTGTTCTGTCTAAAGAAATGTTCAACTGTGTTAGTTGAGGACACACATCAGAAACTAGTTTCTGAGAATGCTTCTGTCTAGTTGTTATGGGAAGATATTTCCTTTTCCAACGTAGGCCTGAAAGCGCTCCAAATGTCCACTTCCATATACTAAAAAAAGAGTGTTTCAAACCTGCTCTACCAAAGGGAATGTTCTACTCTGTGACTTGAATGCAAACATCCCAAAGAAGTTTCTGAGAATGCTTCTGTCTAGATTTGATCTGAAGACAATCCCGTTTCCAACGAAATCCTCAAGGCTAGGCAAATAATCCTCTTGCAGATTCCAGAAAAAGAGTGTTTCAAAACTGCTCCTTCAAAACGGTGGTTCAATTCTCTTAGTTGAGTACACAAATCTCAAATAAGTTTCTGAGAATGCTTCTGCCTAGTTGTTACGGGAAGATATTTCCCTTTCCAACATAGGCCTGAAAGCGCTCCAAATGTCCACTTCCAGATACTACAAAAAGAGTGTTTCAAACCTGCTCTACCAAAGGGAATGTTCTACTCTGTGACTTGAATGCAAACATCCCAAAGAAGTTTCTGAGAATGCTTCTGTCTAGATTTTACCTGAAGACAATCCCGTTTCCCACGAAATCCTCAAAGCTATGCAAATATCCTCTTGCAGATTCTACAAAAAGAGTGTTTCAAAACTGCTCTATGAAAAGAAAGGTTCAACTCTGTCACTAGAGGGCACACATCACAAACAAGTTTCTGAGAATGCTTGTGTCTAGTTGTTATGGGAAGATATTTCCTTTTTCAACATAGGCCTGAAAGCGCTCCAAATGTCCACTTCCAGATACTACAAAAGGAGTGATTCCAACCTGCTCTATGATAGGGAATGTTCAACTCTCTGTCCTGAATACAAACATCACAAAGATGTTTCTCAGAACGCTGCAGTCTGCAATTTGTATGAATTCCCGCTTCCAACGAAATCCTCAAAACTAGCCAAATATCCACTTGCAGATTCCACAAAAAGAGCATTTCAAAACTGCTCTATCAAAAGAAAGGTTCAACTTTGTTAGTTGAGTAGATACAGCATAAACACGTTTCTGAGAATGCTTCTGTCCAGTTTTTATGGGAAGATATTTCCTTTTTCACCTTAGCCCTGAAAGCGCTCCAAAAGTCCAGTTCCAGATACTACAAAAGGAGTGTTTCAGGACTGCTCTATGAAAGGGAGTGTTCAACTTTTGACTTGAATGCAAACATCAGAAAGCAGTTTCTCAGAACGCTGCTGTGTGCTTTTTATATGTATTCCCGCCTCCAGCGAAATCCCCAAAGCTAGCCAAATATCCACTTGCAGATTCCAGAAAAAGAGTGTTTCAAAACTGCTCCTTCAAAACGGTGGTTCAATTCTCTTAGTTGAGTACACACATCTCAAATAAGTTTCTGAGAATGCTTCTGTCTAGTTGTTATGGGAAGATATTTCCTTTTCCAACATAGGCCTGAAAGCGCTCCAAATGTCCACTTCCAGATACTACAAAAGGAGTGATTCAAACCTGCTCTATGATAGGGAATGTTCAACTCTGTGTCCTGAATACAAACATCACAAAGATGTTTCTCAGAACGCTGCAGTCTGCAATTTGTATGAATTCCCGCTTCCAACGAAATCCTCAAAACTAGCCAAATATCCACTTGCAGATTCCACAAAAAGACCATTTCAAAACTGCTCTATCAAAAGAAAGGTTCAACTTTGTTAGTTGAGTAGATACAGCATAAACAAGTTTCTGAGAATGCTTCTGTCCAGTTTTTATGGGAAGATATTTCCTTTTTCACCTTAGCCCTGAAAGCGCTCCAAAAGTCCAGTTCCAGATACTACAAAAGGGGTGTTTCAAGACTGCTCTATGAAAGGGAGTGTTCAACTTTTGACTTGAATGCAAACATCAGAAAGCAGTTTCTCAGAACGCTGCTGTGTGCTTTTTATATGTATTCCCGCTTCCAGCGAAATCCCCAAAGCTAGCCAAATATCCACTTGCAGATTCCAGAAAAAGAGTGTTTCAAAACTGCTCCTTCAAAACGGTGGTTCAATTCTCTTAGTTGAGTACACACATCTCAAATAAGTTTCTGAGAATGCTTCTGTCTAGTTGTTATGGGAAAATATTTCCTTTTCCAACATAGGCCTGAAAGCGCTCCAAATGTCCACTTCCAGATACTACAAAAGGAGTGATTCAAACCTGCTCTATGATAGGGAATGTTCAACTCTGTGTCCTGAATACAAACATCACAAAGATGTTTCTCAGAACGCTGCAGTCTGCAATTTGTATGAATTCCCGCTTCCAACGAAATCCTCCAAACTAGCCAAATATCCACTTGCAGATTCCACAAAAAGAGCGTTTCAAAACTTCTCTATGAAAAGAAAGGTTCTACTCCTTTAGTTGAGGACACACATCACGAGTAAGTTTCTGAGAATGCTTCTGTCTATTTTTTATGGGAAGATATGTCCTTTTTCACCTTAGGCCGGAAAGTGCTCCAAATGTCCACTTACACACACTACAAAAAGAGTGTTTCAAACCTGCTCTGTGAAAGGGAATGTTCAATTCTGTGACTTGAATGCAATCATCACAAAGAACTTTCTGAGAATGCTGCTGTCTGCTTTTTATATGTAATCCCGTTTCCAACGGAAATCCTCAAATCTAGCCAAATATCCACTTGCAGATTCCACAAAGAGAGTGTTTCAAAACTGTTCTGTCTAAAGAAATGTTCAACTGTGTTAGTTGAGGACACACATCAGAAACTAGTTTCTGAGAATGCTTCTGTCTAGTTGTTATGGGAAGATATTTCCTTTTCCAACGTAGGCCTGAAAGCGCTCCAAATGTCCACTTCCATATACTAAAAAAAGAGTGTTTCAAACCTGCTCTACCAAAGGGAATGTTCTACTCTGTGACTTGAATGCAAACATCCCAAAGAAGTTTCTGAGAATGCTTCTGTCTAGATTTGATCTGAACACAATCCCGTTTCCAACGAAATCCTCAAAGCTAGGCAAATATCCTCTTGCAGATTCCAGAAAAAGAGTGTTTCAAAACTGCTCCTTCAAAACGGTGGTTCAATTCTCTTAGTTGAGTACACACATCTCAAATAAGTTTCTGAGAATGCTTCTGCCTAGTTGTTACGGGAAGATATTTCCCTTTCCAACATAGGCCTGAAAGCGCTCCAAATGTCCACTTCCAGATACTACAAAAAGAGTGTTTCAAACCTGCTCTACCAAAGGGAATGTTCTACTCTGTGACTTGAATGCAAACATCCCAAAGAAGTTTCTGAGAATGCTTCTGTCTAGATTTTATCTGAAGACAATCCCGTTTCCAACGAAATCCTCAAGGCTAGGCAAATATACTCTTTCAGATTCCAGAAAAAGAGGGTTTCAAAACTGCTCCTTCAAAACGGTGGTTCAATTCTCTTCGTTGAGTACACACATCTCAAATAAGTTTCTGAGAATGCTTCTGCCTAGTTGTTACGGGAATATATTTCCCTTTCCAACATGGGCTTGAATGCTGCTCCAAATGTCCACTTCCAGATACTACAAAAAGATTGTTTCAAACCTGCTCTACCAAAGGGAATGTTCTACTCTGTGACTTGAATGCAAACATCCCAAAGAAGTTTCTGAGAATGCTTCTGTCTAGATTTTACCTGAAGACAATCCCGTTTCCCACGAAATCCTCAAAGCTATGCAAATATCCTCTTGCAGATTCTACAAAAAGAGTGTTTCAAAACTGCTCTATGAAAAGAAAGGTTCAACTCTGTCAGTAGAGGGCACACATCACAAACAAGTTTCTGAGAATGCTTGTGTCTAGTTGTTATGGGAAGATATTTCCTTTTTCAACATAGGCCTGAAAGCGCTCCAAATGTCCACTTCCAGATACTACAAAAGGAGTGATGCCAACCTGCTCTATGATAGGGAATGTTCATCTCTGTGTCCTGAATACAAACATCACAAAGATGTTTCTCATAACGCTGCAGTCTGCAATTTGTATGAATTCCCGCTTCCAACGAAATCCTCAAAACTAGCCAAATATCCACTTGCAGATTCCACAAAAAGACCATTTCAAAACTGCTCTATCAAAAGAAAGGTTCAACTTTGTTAGTTGAGTAGATACAGCATAAACAAGTTTCTGAGAATGCTTCTGTCCAGTTTTTATGGGAAGATATTTCCTTTTTCACCTTAGCCCTGAAATCGCTCCAAAAGTCCAGTTCCAGATACTACAAAAGGGGTGTTTCAAGACTGCTCTATGAAAGGGAGTGTTCAACTTTTGACTTGAATGCAAACATCAGAAAGCAGTTTCTCAGAACGCTGCTGTGTGCTTTTTATATGTATTCCCGCGTCCAGCGAAATCCCCAAAGCTAGCCAAATATCCACTTGCAGATTCCAGAAAAAGAGTGCTTCAAAACTGCTCCTTCAAAACGGTGGTTCAATTCTCTTAGTTGAGTACACACATCTCAAATAAGTTTCTGAGAATGCTTCTGTCTAGTTGTTATGGGAAGATATTTCCTTTTCCAACATAGGCCTGAAAGCGCTCCAAATGTCCACTTCCAGATACTACAAAAGGAGTGATTCAAACCTGCTCTATGATAGGGAATGTTCAAATCTGTGTCCTGAATACAAACATCACAAAGATGTTTCTCAGAACGCTGCAGTCTGCAATTTGTATGAATTCCCGCTTCCAACGAAATCCTCAAAACTAGCCAAATATCCACTTGCAGATTCCACAAAAAGAGCGTTTCAAAACTTCTCTATGAAAAGAAAGGTTCTACTCCTTTAGTTGAGGGCACACATCACGAGTAAGTTTCTGAGAATGCTTCTGTCTAGTTTTTATGGGAAGATATTTCCTTTTTCACCTTAGGCCGGAAAGCGCTCCAAATGTCCACTTACACACACTACAAAAAGAGTGTTTCAAACCTGCTCTGTGAAAGGGAATGTTCAATTCTGTGACTTGAATGCAATCATCACAAAGAACTTTCTGAGAATGCTGCTGACTGCTTTTTATATGTAATCCCGTTTCCAACGAAATCCTCAAATCTAGCCAAATAGCCACTTGCAGATTCCACAAAAAGAGTGTTTCAAAACTGTTCTGTCTAAAGAAATGTTCAACTGTGTTAGTTGAGGACACACATCAGAAACTAGTTTCTGAGAATGCTTCTGTCTAGTTGTTATGGGAAGATATTTCCTTTTCCAACGTAGTTCTGAAAGCGCTCCAAATGTCCACTTCCAGATACTACAAAAAGAGTGTTTCAAACCTGCTCTACCAAAGGGAATGTTCTCCTCTGTGACTTGAATGCAAACATCCCAAAGAAGTTTCTGAGAATGCTTCTGTCTAGATTTTACCTGAAGACAATCCCGTTTCCAACGAAATCCTCAAACTTATGCAAATATCCTCTTGCAGATTCTACACAAAGAGTGTTTCGAAACTGCTCTATGAAAGGAAAGGTTCAACTCTGTCAGTAGAGGGCACACATCACAAACAAGTTTCTGAGAATGCTTCTGTCTAGTTGTTTTGGGAAGATATTTCCTTTTTCAACATAGGCCTGAAAGCGCTCCAAATGGCCACTTCCAGATACTACAAAAGGAGTGATTCCAACCCGCTCTACGATAGGTAATGTTCAACCCTGTGTCCTGAATACAAACATCACAAAGATGTTTCTCAGAACGCTGCAGTCTGCAATTCGTATGAATTCCCGCTTCCAACGAAATCCTCAAAACTAGCCAAATATCCACTTGCAGATTCCAGAAAAAGAGCATTTCAAAACTGCTCTATCAAAGGAAAGGTTCAACTTTGTTAGTTGAGTAGATACAGCATGGACAAGTTTCTGAGAATGCCTCTGTCCAGTTTTTATGGGAAGACATTTCCTTTATCACCTTAGCCCTGAAAGTGCTCCAAATGTCCACTTCCAGATACTACAAAAGGGGTGTTTCAAGCCTGCTCTATGAACGGGAGTGTTCAACTTTTGACTTGAATGCAAACATCAGAAAGCAGTTTCTCAGAACGCTGCAGTCTGCAATTTGTATGAATTCCCGCTTCCAACGAAATCCTCCAAACTAGCCAAATATCCACTTGCAGATTCCACAAAAAGAGCGTTTCAAAACTTCTCTATGAAAAGAAAGGTTCTACTCCTTTAGTTGAGGACACACATCACGATTAAGTTTCTGAGAATGCTTCAGTCTAGTTTTTATGGGAAGATATTTCCTTGTTCACCTTAGGCCGGAAAGCGCTCCAAATGTCCACTTACACACACTAGAAAAAGAGTGTTTCAAACCTGCTCTGTGAAAGGGAATGTTCAATTCTGTGACTTGAATGCAATCATCACAAAGAAGTTTCTGAGAATGCTGCTGTCTGCTTTTTATATGTAATCCCGTTTCCAACGAAATCCTCAAATCTAGCCAAATATCCACTTGCAGATTCCACAAAAAGAGTGTTTCAAAACTGTTCTGTCTAAAGAAATGTTCAACTGTGTTAGTTGAGGACACACATCAGAAACTAGTTTCTGAGAATGCTTCTGTCTAGTTGTTATGGGAAGATATTTCCTTTTCCAACGTAGGCCTGAAAGCGCTCCAAATGTCCACTTACACACACTACAAAAAGAGTGTTTCAAACCTGCTCTACCAAAGGGAATGTTCTACTCTGTGACTTGAATGCAAACATCCCAAAGAAGTTTCTGAGAATGCTTCTGTCTAGATTTTACCTGAAGACAATCCCGTTTCCCACGAAATCCTCAAAGCTATGCAAATATCCTCTTGCAGATTCTACAAAAAGAGTGTTTCGAAACTGCTCTATGAAAAGAAAGGTTCAACTGTGTCAGTAGAGGGCACACATCACAAACAAGTTTCTGAGAATGCTTCTGTCTAGTTGTTATGGGAAGATATTTCCTTTTTCAACATAGGCCTGAAAGCGCTCCAAATGTCCACTTCCAGATACTACAAAAGGAGTGATTCCAACCTGCTCTATGATAGGGAATGTTCAACTCTGTGTCCTGAATACAAACATCACAAAGATGTTTCTCAGAACGCTGCAGTCTGCAATTTGTATGAATTCCCGCTTCCAGCGAAATCCTCAAAACTAGCCAAATATCCACTTGCAGATTCCACAAAAAGAGCATTTCAAAACTGCTCTATCAAAAGAAAGGTTCAACTTTGTTAGTTGAGTAGATACAGCATAAACAAGTTTCTGAGAATGCTTCTGTCCAGTTTTTATGGGAAGATATTTCCTTTTTCACCTTAGCCCTGAAAGCGCTCCAAAAGTCCAGTTCCAGATACTACAAAAGGAGTGTTTCAGGACTGCTCTATGAAAGGGAGTGTTCAACTTTTGACTTGAATGCAAACATCAGAAAGCAGTTTCTCAGAACGCTGCTGTGTGCTTTTTATATGTATTCCCGCTTCCAGCGAAATCCCCAAAGCTAGCCAAATATCCACTTGCAGATTCCAGAAAAAGAGTGTTTCAAAACTGCTCCTTCAAAACGGTGGTTCAATTCTCTTAGTTGAGTACACACATCTCAAATAAGTTTCTGAGAATGCTTCTGTCTAGTTGTTATGGGAAGATATTTCCTTTTCCAACATAGGCCTGAAAGCGCTCCAAATGTCCACTTCCAGATACTACAAAAGGAGTGATTCAAACCTGCTCTATGATAGGGAATGTTCAACTCTGTGTCCTGAATACAAACATCACAAAGATGTTTCTCAGAACGCTGCAGTCTGCAATTTGTATGAATTCCCGCTTCCAACGAAATCCTCAAAACTAGCCAAATACCCACTTGCAGATTCCACAAAAAGAGCGTTTCAAAACTTCTCTATGAAAAGAAAGGTTCTACTCCTTTAGTTGAGGACACACATCACGAGTAAGTTTCTGAGAATGCTTCTGTCTAGTTTTTATGGGAAGATATTTCCTTTTTCACCTTAGGCCGGTAAGTGCTCCAAATGTCCACTTACACACACTACAAAAAGAGTGTTTCAAACCTGCTCTGTGAAAGGGAATGTTCAATTCTGTGACTTGAATGCAATCATCACAAAGAACTTTCTGAGAATGCTGCTGACTGCTTTTTATATGTAATCCCGTTTCTAACGAAATCCTCAAATCTAGCCAAATAGCCACTTGCAGATTCCACAAAAAGAGTGTTTCAAAACTGTTCTGTCTAAAGAAATGTTCAACTGTGTTAGTTGAGGACACACATCAGAAACTAGTTTCTGAGAATGCTTCTGTCTAGTTGTTATGGGAAGATATTTCCTTTTCCATCGTAGGCCTGAATGCGCTCCAAATGTCCACTTCCATATACTAAAAAAAGAGTGTTTCAAACCTGCTCTACCAAAGGGAATGTTCTACTCTGTGACTTGAATGCAAACATCCCAAAGAAGTTTCTGAGAATGCTTCTGTCTAGATTTGATCTGAAGACAATCCCGTTTCCAACGAAATCCTCAAGGCTAGGCAAATATCCTCTTGCAGATTCCAGAAAAAGAGTGTTTCAAAACTGCTCCTTCAAAAGGGGTGGTTCAATTCTCTTAGTTGAGTACACACATCTCAAATAAGTTTCTGAGAATGCTTCTGCCTAGTTGTTAAGGGAAGATATTTCCCTTTCCAACATAGGCCTGAAAGCGCTCCAAATGTCCACTTCCAGATACTACAAAAAGAGTGTTTCAAACCTGCTCTACCAAACGGAATGTTCTACTCTGTGACTTGAATGCAAACATCCCAAAGAAGTTTCTGAGAATGCTTCTGTCTAGATTTTACCTGAAGACAATCCCGTTTCCCACGAAATCCTCAAAGCTATGCAAATATCCTCTTGCAGATTCTACAAAAAGAGTGTTTCAAAACTGCTCTATGAAAAGAAAGGTTCAACTCTGTCAGTAGAGGGCACACATCACAAACAAGTTTCTGAGAATGCTTGTGTCTAGTTGTTATGGGAAGATATTTCCTTTTTCAACATAGGCCTGAAAGCGCTCCAAATGTCCACTTCCAGATACTACAAAAGGAGTGATTCCAACCTGCTCTATGATAGGGAATGTTCATCCTACTGTGTCCTGAATACAAACATCACAAAGATGTTTCTCAGAACGCTGCAGTCTGCAATTTGTATGAATTCCCGCTTCCAACGAAATCCTCAAAACTAGCCAAATATCCACTTGCAGATTCCACAAAAAGACCATTTCAAAACTGCTCTATCAAAAGAAAGGTTCAACTTTGTTAGTTGAGTAGATACAGCATAAACAAGTTTCTGAGAATGCTTCTGTCCAGTTTTTATGGGAAGATATTTCCTTTTTCACCTTAGCCCTGAAATCGCTCCAAAAGTCCAGTTCCAGATACTACAAAAGGGGTGTTTCAGGACTGCTCTATGAAAGGGAGTGTTCAACTTTTGACTTGAATGCAAACATCAGAAAGCAGTTTCTCAGAACGCTGCTGTGTGCTTTTTATATGTATTCCCGCTTCCAGCGAAATCCCCAAAGCTAGCCAAATATCCACTTGCAGATTCCAGAAAAAGAGAGTTTCAAAACTGCTCCTTCAAAACGGTGGTTCAATTCTCTTAGTTGAGTACACACATCTCAAATAAGTTTCTGAGAATGCTTGTGTCTAGTTGTTATGGGAAGATATTTCCTTTTTCAACATAGGCCTGAAAGCGCTCCAAATGTCCACTTCCAGATACTACAAAAGGAGTGATTCCAACCTGCTCTATGATAGGGAATGTTCATCTCTGTGTCCTGAATACAAACATCACAAAGATGTTTCTCAGAACGCTGCAGTCTGCAATTTGTATGAATTCCCGCTTCCAACGAAATCCTCAAAACTAGCCAAATATCCACTTGGAGATTCCACAAAAAGAGCGTTTCAAAACTTCTCTATGAATAGAAAGGTTCTACTCCTTTAGTTGAGGACACACATCACGAGTAAGTTTCTGAGAATGCTTCTGTCTAGTTTTTATGGGAAGATATTTCCTTTTTCACCTTAGGCCGGAAAGCGCTCCAAATGTCCACTTACACACACTACAAAAAGAATGTTTCAAACCTGCTCTGTGAAAGGGAATGTTCAATTCTGTGACTTGAATGCAATCATCACAAAGAACTTTCTGAGAATGCTGCTGTCTGCTTTTTATATGTAATCCCGTTTCCAACGAAATCCTCAAATCTAGCCCAATATCCACTTGCAGATTCCACAAAAAGAGTGTTTCAAAACTGTTCTGTCTAAAGAAATGTACAACTGTGTTAGTTGAGGACACACATCAGAAACTAGTTTCTGAGAATGCTTCTGTCTAGTTGTTATGGGAAGATATTTCCTTTTCCAACGTAGGCCTGAAAGCGCTCCAAATGTCCACTTCCATATACTAAAAAAAGAGTGTTTCAAACCTGCTCTACCAAAGGGAATGTTCTACTCTGTGACTTGAATGCAAACATCCCAAAGAAGTTTCTGAGAATGCTTCTGTCTAGATTTTATCTGAAGACAATCCCGTTTCCAACGAAATCCTCAAGGCTAGGCAAATATACTCTTGCAGATTCCAGAAAAAGAGGGTTTCAAAACTGCTCCTTCAAAACGGTGGTTCAATTCTCTTAGTTGAGTACACACATCTCAAATAAGTTTCTGAGAATGCTTCTGCCTAGTTGTTACGGGAAGATATTTCCCTTTCCAACATGGGCCTGAAAGCGCTCCAAATGTCCACTTCCAGATACTACAAAAAGAGTGTTTCAAACCTGCTCTACCAAAGGGAATGTTCTACTCTGTGACTTGAATGCAAACATCCCAAAGAAGTTTCTGAGAATGCTTCTGTCTAGATTTTACCTGAAGACAATCCCGTTTCCCACGAAATCCTCAAAGCTATGCAAATATCCTCTTGCGGATTCTACAAAAAGAGTGTTTCAAAACTGCTCTATGAAAAGAAAGGTTCAACTCTGTCAGTAGAGGGCACACATCACAAACAAGTTTCTGAGAACGCTTGTGTCTAGTTGTTATGGGAAGATATTTCCTTTTTCAACATAGGCCTGAAAGCGCTCCAAATGTCCACTTCCAGATAGTACAAAAGGAGTGATTCCAACATGCTCTATGATAGGGAATGTTCATCTCTGTGTCTTGAATACAAACATCACAAAGATGTTTCTCAGAACGCTGCAGTCTGCAATTTGTATGAATTCCCGCTTCCAACGAAATCCTCAAAACTAGCCAAATATCCACTTGGAGATTCCACAAAAAGAGCGTTTCAAAACTTCTCTATGAATAGAAAGGTTCTACTCCTTTAGTTGAGGACACACATCACGAGTAAGTTTCTGAGAATGCTTCTGTCTAGTTTTTATGGGAAGATATGTCCTTTTTCACCTTAGGCCGGAAAGCGCTCCAAATCTCCACTTACACACACTACAAAAAGAGTGTTTCAAACCTGCTCTGTGAAACGGAATGTTCAATTCTGTGACTTGAATGCAATCATCACAAAGAACTTTCTGAGAATGCTGCTGACTGCTTTTTATATGTAATCCCGTTTCCAACGAAATCCTCAAATCTAGCCCAATATCCACTTGCAGATTCCACAAAAAGAGTGTTTCAAAACTGTTCTGTCTAAAGAAATGTACAACTGTGTTAGTTGAGGACACACATCAGAAACTAGTTTCTGAGAATGCTTCTGTCTAGTTGTTATGGGAAGATATTTCCTTTTCCAACGTAGGCCTGAAGCGCTCCAAATGTCCACTTCCATATACTAAAAAAAGAGTGTTTCAAACCTGCTCTACCAAAGGGAATGTTCTACTCTGTGACTTGAATGCAAACATCCCAAAGAAGTTTCTGAGAATGCTTCTGTCTAGATTTTATCTGAAGACAATCCCGTTTCCAACGAAATCCTCAAGGCTAGGCAAATATACTCTTGCAGATTCCAGAAAAAGAGTGTTTCAAAACTGCTCCTTCAAAACGGTGGTTCAATTCTCTTCGTTGAGTCCACACATCTCAAATAAGTTTCTGAGAATGCTTCTGCCTAGTTGTTACGGGAAGATATTTCCCTTTCCAACATGGGCCTGAAAGCGCTCCAAATGTCCACTTCCAGATACTACAAAAAGAGTGTTTCAAACCTGCTCTACCAAAGGGAATGTTCTACTCTGTGACTTGAATGCAAACATCCCAAAGAAGTTTCTGAGAATGCTTCTGTCTAGATTTTACCTGAAGACAATCCCGTTTCCCAGGAAATCCTCAAAGCTATGCAAATATCCTCTTGCAGATTCTACAAAAAGAGTGTTTCAAAACTGCTCTATGAAAAGAAAGGTTCAACTCTGTCAGTAGAGGGCACACATCACAAACAAGTTTCTGAGAATGCTTCTGCATAGTTGTTACGGGAAGATATTTCCCTTTCCAAAATAGGCCTGAAAGCGCTCCAAATGTCCACTTCCAGATACTACAAAAGGAGTGATTCCAACCTGCTCTATGATAGGGAATGTTCAACTCTGTGTCCTGAATACAAACATCACAAAGATGTTTCTCAGAACGCTGCAGTCTGCAATTTGTATGAATTCCCGCTTCCAACGAAATCCTCAAAACTAGCCAAATATCCACTTGCAGATTCCACAAAAAGACCATTTCAAAACTGCTCTATCAAAAGAAAGGTTCAACTTTGTTAGTTGAGTAGATACAGCATAAACAAGTTTCTGAGAATGCTTCTGTCCAGTTTTTATGGGAAGATATTTCCTTTTTCACCTTAGCCCTGAAATCGCTCCAAAAGTCCAGTTCCAGATACTACAAAAGGGGTGTTTCAAGACTGCTCTATGAAAGGGAGTGTTCAACTTTTGACTTGAATGCAAACATCAGAAAGCAGTTTCTCAGAACGCTGCTGTGTGCTTTTTATATGTATTCCCGCTTCCAGCGAAATCCCCAAAGCTAGCCAAATATCCACTTGCAGATTCCAGAAAAAGAGAGTTTCAAAACTGCTCCTTCAAAACGGTGGTTCAATTCTCTTAGTTGAGTACACACATCTCAAATAAGTTTCTGAGAATGCTTCTGTCTAGTTGTTATGGGAAGATATTTCCTTTTCCAACATAGGCCTGAAAGCGCTCCAAATGTCCACTTCCAGATACTACAAAAGGAGTGATTCCAACCTGCTCTATGATAGGGAATGTTCAACTCTGTGTCCTGAATACAAACATCACAAAGATGTTTCTCAGAACGCTGCAGTCTGCAATTTGTATGAATTCCCGCTTCCAACGAAATCCTCAAAACTAGCCAAATATCCACTTGCAGATTCCACAAAAAGACCATTTCAAAACTGCTCTATCAAAAGAAAGGTTCAACTTTGTTAGTTGAGTAGATACAGCATAAACAAGTTTCTGAGAATGCTTCTGTCCAGTTTTTATGGGAAGATATTTCCTTTTTCACCTTAGCCCTGAAAGCGCTCCAAAAGTCCAGTTCCAGATACTACAAAAGGGGTGTTTCAAGACTGCTCTATGAAAGGGAGTGTTCAACTTTTGACTTGAATGCAAACATCAGAAAGCAGTTTACTTAGAACGCTGCTGTGTGCTTTTTATATGTATTCCCGCTTCCAGCGAAATCCCCAAAGCTAGCCAAATATCCACTTGCAGATTCCAGAAAAAGAGTGTTTCAAAACTGCTCCTTCAAAACGGTGGTTCAATTCTCTTAGTTGAGTACACACATCTCAAATAAGTTTCTGAGAATGCTTCTGTCTAGTTGTTATGGGAAGATATTTCCTTTTCCAACATAGGCCTGAAAGCGCTCCAAATGTCCACTTCCAGATACTACAAAAGGAGTGATTCAAACCTGCTCTATGATAGGGAATGTTCAACTCTGTGTCCTGAATACAAACATCACAAAGATGTTTCTCAGAACGCTGCAGTCTGCAATTTGTATGAATTCCCGCTTCCAACGAAATCCTCAAAACTAGCCAAATATCCACTTGCAGATTCCACAAAAAGAGCGTTTCAAAACTTCTCTATGAAAAGAAAGGTTCTACTCCTTTAGTTGAGGACACACATCACGAGTAAGTTTCTGAGAATGCTTCTGTCTAGTTTTTATGGGAAGATATTTCCTTTTTCACCTTAGGCCGGTAAGTGCTCCAAATGTCCACTTACACACACTACAAAAAGAGTGTTTCAAACCTGCTCTGTGAAAGGGAATGTTCAATTCTGTGACTTGAATGCAATCATCACAAAGAACTTTCTGAGAATGCTGCTGTCAGCTTTTTATATGTAATCCCGTTTCCAAAGAAATCCTAAAATCTAGCCAAATAGCCACTTGCAGATTCCACAAAAAGAGTGTTTCAAAACTGTTCTGTCTAAAGAAATGTTCAACTGTGTTACTTGAGGACACACATCAGAAACTAGTTTCTGAGAATGCTTCTGTCTAGTTGTTATGGGAAGATATTTCCTTTTCCAACGTAGGCCTGAAAGCGCTCCAAATGTCCACTTCCATATACTAAAAAAAGAGTGTTTCAAACCTGCTCTACCAAAGGGAATGTTCTACTCTGTGACTTGAATGCAAACATCCCAAAGAAGTTTCTGAGAATGCTTCTGTCTAGATTTTCTCTGAAGACAATCCCGTTTCCAACGAAATCCTCAAGGCTAGGCAAATATACTCTTGCAGATTCCAGAAAAAGAGTGTTTCAAAACTGCTCCTTCAAAACGGTGGTTCAATTCTCTTAGTTGAGTACACACATCTCAAATAAGTTTCTGAGAATGCTTCTGCCTAGTTGTTACGGGAAGATATTTCCCTTTCCAACATAGGCCTGAAAGCGCTCCAAATGTCCACTTCCAGATACTACAAAAAGAGTGTTTCAAACCTGCTCTACCAAAGGGAATGTTCTACTACTGTGACTTGAATGCAAACATCCCAAAGAAGTTTCTGAGAATGCTTCTGTCTAGATTTTACCTGAAGACAATCCCGTTTCCCGCGAAATCCTCAAAGCTATGCAAATACCCTCTTGCAGATTCTACAAAAAGAGTGTTTCAAAACTGCTCTATGAAAAGAAAGGTTCAACTCTGTCAGTAGAGGGCACACATCACAAACAAGTTTCTGAGAATGCTTGTGTCTAGTTGTTATGGGAAGATATTTCCTTTTTCAACATAGACCTGAAAGCGCTCCAAATGTCCACTTCCAGATACTACAAAAGGAGTGATTCCAACCTGCTCTATGATAGGGAATGTTCATCTCTGTGTCCTGAATACAAACATCACAAAGATGTTTCTCAGAACGCTGCAGTCTGCAATTTGTATGAATTCCCGCTTCCAACGAAATCCTCCAAACTAGCCAAATATCCACTTGCAGATTCCACAAAAAGAGCGTTTCAAAACTTCTCTATGAAAACAAAGGTTCTACTCCTTTAGTTGAGGACACACATCACGAGTAAGTTTCTGAGAATGCTTCTGTCTAGTTTTTATGGGAAGATATTTTCCTTGTTCACCTTAGGCCGGAAAGCGCTCCAAATGTCCACTTACACACACTACAAAAAGAGTGTTTCAAACCTGCTCTGTGAAAGGGAATGTTCAATTCTGTGACTTGAATGCAATCATCACAAAGAAGTTTCTGAGAATGCTGCTGTCTGCTTTTTATACGTAATCCCGTTTCCAACGAAATCCTCAAATCTAGCCAAATATCCACTTGCAGATTCCTCAAAAAGAGTGTTTCAAAACTGGTCTGTCAAAAGAAAGGTTCAACTCTGTTAGTTGAGGACCCACATCAGAAACTGGTTTCTGAGAATGCTTCTGTCTAGTTGTTATGGGAAGATATTTCCTTTTCCAACATAGGCCTGAAAGCGCTCCAAATGTCCACTTCCAGATACTACAAAAAGAGTGTTTCAAACCTGCTCTACCAAAGGGAATGTTCTACTCTGTGACTTGAATGCAAACATCCCAAAGAAGTTTCTGAGAATGCTTCTGTCTAGATTTTTCCTGAAGACAATCCCGTTTCCAACGAAATCCTCAAAGCTATGCAAATATCCTCTTGCAGATTCTACACAAAGAGTGTTTGGAAACTGCTCTATGAAAGGAAAGGTTCAACTCTGTCAGTAGAGGGCACATATCACAAACAAGTTTCTGAGAATGCTTGTGTCTAGTTGTTATGGGAAGATATTTCCTTTTTCAACATAGGCCTGAAAGCGCTCCAAATGTCCACTTCCAGATACTACAAAAGGAGTGATTCCAACCTGCTCTATGATAGGGAATGTTCAATTCTCTGTCCTGAATACAAACATCACAAAGATGTTTCTCAGAACGCTGCAGTCTGCAATTTGTATGAATTCCCGCTTCCAACGAAATCCTCAAAACTAGCCAAATATCCACTTGCAGATTCCACAAAAAGAGCATTTCAAAACTGCTCTATCAAAAGAAAGGTTCAACTTTGTTAGTTGAGTAGATACAGCATAAACAAGTTTCTGAGAATGCTTCTGTCCAGTTTTTATGGGAAGATATTTCCTTTTTCACCTTAGCCCTGAAAGCGCTCCAAAAGTCCAGTTCCAGATACTACAAAAGGAGTGTTTCAGGACTGCTCTATGAAAGGGAGTGTTCAACTTTTGACTTGAATGCAAACATCAGAAAGCAGTTTCTCAGAACGCTGCTGTATGCTTTTTATATGTATTCCCGCTTCCAGCGAAATCCCCAAAGCTAGCCAAATATCCACTTGCAGATTCCAGAAAAAGAGTGTTTCCAAACTGCTCCTTCAAAACGGTGGTTCAATTCTCTTAGTTGAGTACACACATCTCAAATAAGTTTCTGGGAATGCTTCTGTCTAGTTGTTATGGGAAGATATTTCCTTTTCCAACATAGGCCTGAAAGCGCTCCAAATGTCCACTTCCAGATACTACAAAAGGAGTGATTCAAACCTGCTCTATGATAGGGAATGTTCAACTCTGTGTCCTGAATACAAACATCACAAAGATGTTTCTCAGAACGCTGCAGTCTGCATCTTGTATGAATTCCCGCTTCCAACGAAATCCTCCAAACTAGCCAAATATCCACTTGCAGATTCCACAAAAAGAGCGTTTCAAAACTTCTCTATGAAAAGAAAGGTTCTACTCCTTTAGTTGAGGACACACATCACGAGTAAGTTTCTGAGAATGCTTCTGTCTAGTTTTTATGGGAAGATATTTCCTTGTTCACCTTAGGCCGGAAAGCGCTCCAAATGTCCACTTACACACACTACAAAAAGAGTGTTTCAAACCTGCTCTGTGAAAGGGAATGTTCAATTCTGTGACTTGAATGCAATCATCACAAAGAAGTTTCTGAGAATGCTGCTGTCTGCTTTTTATATGTAATCCCGTTTCCAACGAAATCCTCAAATCTAGCCAAATATCCACTTGCAGATTCCACAAAAAGAGTGTTTCAAAACTGTTCTCTCTAAAGAAATGTTCAACTGTGTTAGTTGAGGACACACATCAGAAACTAGTTTCTGAGAATGCTTCTGTCTAGTTGTTATGGGAAGATATTTCCTTTTCCAACGTAGGCCTGAAAGCGCTCCAAATGTCCACTTCCATATACTAAAAAAAGAGTGTTTCAAACCTGCTCTACCAAAGGAATGTTCTACTCTGTGACTTGAATGCAAACATCCCAAAGAAGTTTCTGAGAATGCTTCTGTCTAGATTTGATCTGAAGACAATCCCTTTTCCAACGAAATCCTCAAAGCTAGGCAAATATCCTCTTGCAGATTCCAGAAAAAGAGTGTTTCCAAACTGCTCCTTCAAAACGGTGGTTCAATTCTGTTAGTTGAGTACACACATCTCAAATAAGTTTCTGAGAATGCTTCTGCCTAGTTGTTACGGGAAGATATTTCCCTTTCCAACATAGGCCTGAAAGCGCAACAAATGTCCACTTCCAGATACGACAAAAAGAGTGTTTCAAACCTGCTCTACCAAAGGGAATGTTCTACTCTGTGACTTGAATGCAAACATCCCGAAGAAGTTTCTGAGAATGCTTCTGTCTAGGATTTTACCTGAAGACAATCCCGTTTCCCACGAAATCCTCAGAGCTATGCAAATATCCTCTTGCAGATTCTACAAAAAGAGTGTTTCGAAACTGCTCTATGAAAAGAAAGGTTCAACTCTGTCAGTAGAGGAAACACATCACCAACAAGTTTCTGAGAATGCTTCTGTCTAGTTGTTATGGGAAGATTTTTCCTTTTTCAACATAGGCCTGAAAGCGCTCCAAATGTCCACTTCCAGATACTACAAAAGGAGTGATCCCAACCTGCTCTATGATAGGGAATGTTCAACTCTGTGTCCTGAATACAAACATCACAAAGATGTTTCTCAGAACGCTGCAGTCTGCAATTTGTATGAATTCCCGCTTCCAACGAAATCCTCAAAACTAGCCAAATATCCACTTGCAGATTCCACAAAAAGAGCATTTCAAAACTACTCTATCAAAAGAAAGGTTCAACTTTGTTAGTTGAGTAGATACAGCATAAACAAGTTTCTGAGAATGCTTCTGTCCAGTTTTTATGGGAAGATATTTCCTTTTTCACCTTAGCCCTGAAAGCGCTCCAAATGTCCAGTTCCAGATACTACAAAAGGGGTGTTTCAAGACTGCTCTATGAAAGGGAGTGTTCAACTTTTGACTTGAATGCAAACATCAGAAAGCAGTTTCTCAGAACGCTGCTGTGTGCTTTTTATATGTATTCCCGCTTCCAGCGAAATCCCCAAAGCTAGCCAAATATCCACTTGCAGATTCCAGAAAAAGAGTGTTTCAAAACTGCTCCTTCAAAACGGTGGTTCAATTCTCTTAGTTGAGTACACACATCTCAAATAAGTTTCTGAGAATGCTTCTGTCTAGTTGTTATGGGAAGATATTTCCTTTTGCAACATAGGCCTGAAAGCGCTCCAAATGTCCACTTCCAGATACTACAAAAGGAGTGATTCAAACCTGCTCTATGATAGGGAATGTTCAACTCTGTGTCCTGAATACAAACATCACAAAGATGTTTCTCAGAACGCTGCAGTCTGCAATTTGTATGAATTCCCGCTTCCAACGAAATCCTCAAAACTAGCCAAATATCCACTTGCAGATTCCACAAAAAGAGCGTTTCAAAACTTCTCTATGAAAAGAAAGGTTCTACTCCTTTAGTTGAGGACACACATCACGAGTAAGTTTCTGAGAATGCTTCTGTCTAGTTTTTAAGGGAAGATATTTCCTTTTTCACCTTAGGCCGGAAAGTGCTCCAAATGTCCACTTACACACACTACAAAAAGAGTGTTTCAAACCTGCTCTGTGAAAGGGAATGTTCAATTCTGTGACTTGAATGCAATCATCACAAAGAACTTTCTGAGAATGCTGCTGTCTGCTTTTTATATGTAATCCCGTTTCCAACGAAATCCTCAAATCTAGCCAAATATCCACTTGCAGATTCCACAAAGAGAGTGTTTCAAAACTGTTCTGTCTAAAGAAATGTTCAACTGTGTTAGTTGAGGACACACATCAGAAACTAGTTTCTGAGAATGCTTCTGTCTAGTTGTTATGGGAAGGTATTTCCTTTTCCAACGTAGGCCTGAAAGCGCTCCAAATGTCCACTTCCATATACTAAAAAAAGAGTGTTTCAAACCTGCTCTACCAAAGGGAATGTTCTACTCTGTGACTTGAATGCAAACATCCCAAAGAAGTTTCTGAGAATGCTTCTGTCTAGATTTGATCTGAAGACAATCCCGTTTCCAACGAAATCCTCAAGGCTAGGCAAATATCCTCTTGCAGATTCCAGAAAAAGAGTGTTTCAAAACTGCTCCTTCAAAACGGTGGTTCAATTCTGTTAGTTGAGTACACACATCTCAAATAAGTTTCTGAGAATGCTTCTGCCTAGTTGTTACCGGAAGATATTTCCCTTTCCAACATAGGCCTGAAAGCGCTCCAAATGTCCACTTCCATATACTAAAAAAAGAGTGTTTCACACCTGCTCTACCAAAGGGAATGTTCTACTCTGTGACTTGAATGCAAACATCCCAAAGAAGTTTCTGAGAATGCTTCTGTCTAGATTTTACCTGAAGACAATCCCGTTTCCCACGAAATCCTCAAAGCTATGCAAATATCCTCTTGCAGATTCTACAAAAAGAGTGTTTCAAAACTGCTCTATGAAAAGAAAGGTTCAACTCTGTCAGTAGAGGGCACACATCACAAACAAGTTTCTGAGAATGCTTGTGTCTAGTTGTTATGGGAAGATATTTCCTTTTTCAACATAGGCCAGAAAGCGCTCCAAATGTCCACTTCCAGATACTACAAAAGGAGTGATTCCAACCTGCTCTATGATAGGGAATGTTCAACTCTCTGTCCTGAATACAAACATCACAAAGATGTTTCTCAGAACGCTGCAGTCTGCAATTTGTATGAATTCCCGCTTCCAACGAAATCCTCAAAACTAGCCAAATATCCACTTGCAGATTCCACAAAAAGACCATTTCAAAACTGCTCTATCAAAAGAAAGGTTCAACTTTGTTAGTTGAGTAGTTACAGCATAAACAAGTTTCTGAGAATGCTTCTGTCCAGTTTTTATGGGAAGATATTTCCTTTTTCACCTTAGCCCTGAAATCGCTCCAAAAGTCCAGTTCCAGATACTACAAAACGGGTGTTTCAAGACTGCTCTATGAAAGGGAGTGTTCAACTTTTGACTTGAATGCAAACATCAGAAAGCAGTTTCTCAGAACGCTGCTGTGTGCTTTTTATACGTATTCCCGCTTCCAGCGAAATCCCCAAAGCTAGCCAAATATCCACTTGCAGATTCCAGAAAAAGAGTGTTTCAAAACTGCTCCTTCAAAACGGTGGTTCAATTCTCTTAGTTGAGTACACACATCTCAAATAAGTTTCTGAGAATGCTTGTGTCTAGTTTTTATGGGAAGATATTTCCTTTTTCACCTTAGGCCGGAAAGTGCTCCAAATGTCCACTTACACACACTACAAAAAGAGTGTTTCAAACCTGCTCTGTGAAAGGGAATGTTCAATTCTGTGACTTGAATGCAATCATCACAAAGAACTTTCTGAGACTGCTGCAGTCTGCAATTTGTATGAATTCCCGCTTCCAACGAAATCCTCAAAACTAGCCAAATATCCACTTGCAGATTCCACAAAAAGAGCGTTTCAAAACTTCTCTATGAAAAGAAAGGTTCTACTCCTTTAGTTGAGGACACACATCACGAGTAAGTTTCTGAGAATGCTTCTGTCTAGTTTTTATGGGAAGATATTTCCTTTTTCACCTTAGGCCGGTAAGGGTTCCAAATGTCCACTTACACACACTACAAAAAGAGTGTTTCAAACCTGCTCTGTGAAAGGGAATGTTCAATTCTGTGACTTGAATGCAATCATCACAAAGAACTTTCTGAGAATGCTGCTGACTGCTTTTTATATGTAATCCCGTTTCCAACGAAATCCTCAAATCTAGCCAAATAGCCACTTGCAGATTCCACAAAAAGAGTGTTTCAAAACTGTTCTGTCTATAGAAATGTTCAACTGTGTTAGTTGAGGACACACAGCAGAAACTAGTTTCTGAGAATGCTTCTGTCTAGTTGTTATGGGAAGATATTTCCTTTTCCAACGTAGGCCTGAAAGCGCTCCAAATGTCCACTTCCATATACTAAAAAAAGAGTGTTTCAAACCTGCTCTACCAAAGGGAATGTTCTACTCTGTGACTTGAATGCAAACATCCCAAAGAAGTTTCTGAGAATGCTTCTGTCTAGATTTTCTCTGAAGACAATCCCGTTTCCAACGAAATCCTCAAGGCTAGGCAAATATACTCTTGCAGATTCCAGAAAAAGAGTGTTTCAAAACTGCTCCTTCAAAACGGTGGTTCAATTCTCTTAGTTGAGTACACACATCTCAAATAAGTTTCTGAGAATGCTTCTGCCTAGTTGTTACGGGAAGATATTTCCCTTTCCAACATAGGCCTGAAAGCGCTCCAAATGTCCACTTCCAGATACTACAAAAAGAGTGTTTCAAACCTGCTCTACCAAAGGGAATGTTCTACTCTGTGACTTGAATGCAAACATCCCAAAGAAGTTTCTGAGAATGCTTCTGTCTAGATTTTACCTGAAGACAATCCCGTTTCCCACGAAATCCTCAAAGCTATGCAAATATCCTCTTGCAGATTCTACAAAAAGAGTGTTTCAAAACTGCTCTATGAAAAGAAAGGTTCAACTCTGTCAGTAGAGGGCACACATCACAAACAAGTTTCTGAGAATGCTTCTGTCTATTTGTTATGGGAAGATATTTCCTTTTCCAACATAGGCCTGAAAGCGCTCCAAATGTCCACTTCCAGATACTACAAAAGGAGTGATTCAAACCTGCTCTATGATAGGGAATGTTCAACTCTGTGTCCTGAATACAAACATCACAAAGAAGTTTCTCAGAACGCTGCAGTCTGCAATTTGTATGAATTCCCGCTTCCAACGAAATCCTCAAAACTAGCCAAATATCCACTTGCAGATTCCACAAAAAGAGCATTTCAAAACTGCTCTATCAAAAGAAAGGTTCAACTTTGTTAGTTGAGTAGATACAGCATAAACAAGTTTCTGAGAATGCTTCTGTCCAGTTTTTATGGGAAGATATTTCCTTTTTCACCTTAGCCCTGAAAGCGCTCCAAAAGTCCAGTTCCAGATACTACAAAAGGAGTGTTTCAGGACTGCTCTATGAAAGGGAGTGTTCAACTTTTGACTTGAATGCAAACATCAGAAAGCAGTTTCTCAGAACGCTGCTGTGTGCTTTTTATATGTATTCCCGCTTCCAGCGAAATCCCCAAAGCTAGCCAAATATCCACTTGCAGATTCCAGAAAAAGAGTGTTTCAAAACTGCTCCTTCAAAACGGTGGTTCAATTCTCTTAGTTGAGTACACACATCTCAAATAAGTTTCTGAGAATGCTTCTGTCTAGTTGTTATGGGAAGATATTTCCTTTTCCAACATAGGCCTGAAAGCGCTCCAAATGTCCACTTCCAGATACTACAAAAGGAGTGATTCAAACCTGCTCTATGATAGGGAATGTTCAACTCTGTGTCCTGAATACAAACATCACAAAGATGTTTCTCAGAACGCTGCAGTCTGCAATTTGTATGAATTCCCGCTTCCAACGAAATCCTCAAAACTAGCCAAATATCCACTTGCAGATTCCACAAAAAGAGCGTTTCAAAACTTCTCTATGAAAAGAAAGGTTCTACTCCTTTAGTTGAGGACACACATCACGAGTAAGTTTCTGAGAATGCTTCTGTCTAGTTTTTATGGGAAGATATTTCCTTTTTCACCTTAGGCCGGTAAGTGCTCCAAATGTCCACTTACACACACTACAAAAAGAGTGTTTCAAACCTGCTCTGTGAAAGGGAATGTTCAATTCTGTGACTTGAATGCAATCATCACAAAGAACTTTCTGAGAATGCTGCTGACTGCTTTTTATATGTAATCCCGTTTCCAACGAAATCCTCAAATCTAGCCAAATAGCCACTTGCAGATTCCACAAAAAGAGTGTTTCAAAACTGTTCTGTCTAAAGAAATGTTCAACTGTGTTAGTTGAGGACACACATCAGAAACTAGTTTCTGAGAATGCTTCTGTCTAGTTGTTATGGGAAGATATTTCCTTTTCCAACGTAGGCCTGAAAGCGCTCCAAATGTCCACTTCCAGATACTACAAAAAGAGTGTTTCAAACCTGCTCTACCAAAGGGAATGTTCTACTCTGTGACTTGAATGCAAGCATCCCAAAGAAGTTTCTGAGAATGCTTCTGTCTAGATTTTCTCTGAGACAATCCCGTTTCCAACGAAATCCTCAAGGCTAGGCAAATATACTCTTGCAGATTCCAGAAAAAGAGTGTTTCAAAACTGCTCCTTCAAAACGGTGGTTCAATTCTCTTAGTTGAGTACACACATCTCAAATAAGTTTCTGAGAATGCTTCTGCCTAGTTGTTACGGGAAGATATTTCCCTTTCCAACATGGGCCTGAAAGCGCTCCAAATGTCCACTTCCAGATACTACAAAAAGAGTGTTTCAAACCTGCTCTACCAAAGGGAATGTTCTACTCTGTGACTTGAATGCAAACATCCCAAAGAAGTTTCTGAGAATGCTTCTGTCTAGATTTTACCGGAAGACAATCCCGTTTCCCACGAAATCCTCAAAGCTATGCAAATATCCTCTTGCAGATTCTACAAAAAGAGTGTTTCAAAACTGCTCTATGAAAAGAAAGGTTCAACTCTGTCAGTAGAGGGCACACATCACAAACAAGTTTCTGAGAATGCTTCTGCATAGTTGTTACGGGAAGATATTTCCCTTTCCAAAATAGGCCTGAAAGCGCTCCAAATGTCCACTTCCAGATACTACAAAAGGAGTGATTCCAACCTGCTCTATGATAGGGAATGTTCAACTCTGTGTCCTGAATACAAACATCACAAAGATGTTTCTCAGAACGCTGCAGTCTGCAATTTGTATGAATTCCCGCTTCCAACGAAATCCTCAAAACTAGCCAAATATCCACTTGCAGATTCCACAAAAAGAGCATTTCAAAACTGCTCTATCAAAAGAAAAGTTCAACTTTGTTAGTTGAGTAGATACAGCATAAACAAGTTTCTGAGAATGCTTCTGTCCAGTTTTTATGGGAAGATATTTCCTTTTTCACCTTAGCCCTGAAATCGCTCCAAAAGTCCAGTTCCAGATACTACAAAAGGGGTGTTTCAGGACTGCTCTATGAAAGGGAGTGTTCAACTTTTGACTTGAATGCAAACATCAGAAAGCAGTTTCTCAGAACGCTGCTGTGTGCTTTTTATATGTATTCCCGCCTCCAGCGAAATCCCCAAAGCTAGCCAAATATCCACTTGCAGATTCCAGAAAAAGAGTGTTTCAAAACTGCTCCTTCAAAACGGTGGTTCAATTCTCTTAGTTGAGTACACACATCTCAAATAAGTTTCTGAGAATGCTTCTGCCTAGTTGTTATGGGAAGATATTTCCTTTTTCAACATAGGCCTGAAAGCGCTCCAAATGTCCACTTCCAGATACTACAAAAGGAGTGATTCCAACCTGCGCTATGATAGGGAATGTTCAACTCTGTGTCCTGAATACAAACATCACAAAGATGTTTCTCAGAACGCTGCAGTCTGCAATTTGTATGAATTCCCGCTTCCAACGAAATCCTCAAACCTAGCCAAATATCCACTTGCAGATTCCACAAAAAGAGCATTTCAAAACTGCTCTATCAAAAGAAAGGTTCAACTTTGTTAGTTGAGTAGATACAGCATAAACAAGTTTCTGAGAATGCTTCTGTCCAGTTTTTATGGGAAGGTATTTCCTTTTTCACCTTAGCCCTGAAAGCGCTCCAAATGTCCAGTTCCATATACTACAAAAGGGGTGTTTCAAGACTGCTCTATGAAAGGGAGTGTTCAACTTTTGACTTGAATGCAAACATCAGAAAGCAGTTTCTCAGAACGCTGCTGTGTGCTTTTTATATGTATTCCCGCTTCCAGCGAAATCCCCAAAGCTAGCCAAATATCCACTTGCAGATTCCAGAAAAAGAGTGTTTCAAAACTGCTCCTTCAAAACGGTGGTTCAATTCTCTTAGTTGAGTACACACATCTCAAATAAGTTTCTGAGAATGCTTCTGTCTAGTTGTTATGGGAAGATATTTCCTTTTCCAACATAGGCCTGAAAGCGCTCCAAATGTCCACTTCCAGATACTACAAAAGGAGTGATTCAAACCTGCTCTATGATAAGGAATGTTCAACTCTGTGTCCTGAATACAAACATCACACAGATGTTTCTCAGAACGCTGCAGTCTGCAATTTGTATGAATTCCCGCTTCCAACGAAATCCTCAAAACTAGCCAAATATCCACTTGCAGATTCCACAAAAAGAGCGTTTCAAAACTTCTCTATGAAAAGAAAGGTTCTACTCCTTTAGTTGAGGACACACACCACGAGTAAGTTTCTGAGAATGCTTCTGTCTAGTTTTTATGGGAAGATATTTCCTTTTTCACCTTAGGCCGGAAAGCGCTCCAAATGTCCACTTACACACACTACAAAAAGAGTGTTTCAAACCTGCTCTGTGAAAGGGAATGTTCAATTCTGTGACTTGAATGCAATCATCACAAAGAACGTTCTGAGAATGGTGCTGTCTGCTTTTTATATGTAATCCCGTTTCCAACGAAATCCTCAAATCTAGCCAAATAGCCACTTGCAGATTCCACAAAAAGAGAGTTTCAAAACTGTTCTGTCTAAAGAAATGTTCAACTGTGTTAGTTGAGGACACACATCAGAAACTAGTTTCTGAGAATGCTTCTGTCTAGTTGTTATGGGAAGATATTTCCTTTTCCAACGTAGGCCTGAAAGCGCTCCAAATGTCCACTTCCATATACTAAAAAAAGAGTGTTTCAAACCTGCTCTACCAAAGGGAATGTTCTACTCTGTGACTTGAATGCAAACATCCCAAAGAAGTTTCTGAGAATGCTTCTGTCTAGATTTGATCTGAAGACAATCCCGTTTCCAACGAAATCCTCAAGGCTAGGCAAATATCCTCTTGCAGATTCCAGAAAAAGAGTGTTTCAAAACTGCTCCTTCAAAACGGTGGTTCAATTCTCTTAGTTGAGTACACACATCTCAAATAAGTTTCTGAGAATGCTTCTGCCTAGTTGTTACGGGAAGATATTTCCCTTTCCAACATAGGCCTGAAAGCGCTCCAAATGTCCACTTCCAGATACTACAAAAAGAGTGTTTCAAACCTGCTCTACCAAAGGGAATGTTCTACTCTGTGACTTGAATGCAAACATCCCAAAGAAGTTTCTGAGAATGCTTCTGTCTAGATTTTACCTGAAGACAATCCCGTTTCCCACGAAACCCTCAAAGCTATGCAAATATCCTCTTGCAGATTCTACAAAAAGAGTGTTTCAAAACTGCTCTATGAAAAGAAAGGTTCAACTCTGTCAGTAGAGAGCACACATCACAAACAAGTTTCTGAGAATGCTTCTGCATAGTTGTTACGGGAAGATATTTCCCTTTCCAAAATAGGCCTGAAAGCGCTCCAAATGTCCACTTCCAGATACTACAAAAGGAGTGATTCCAACCTGCTCTATGATAGGGAATGTTCAACTCTGTGTCCTGAATACAAACATCACAAAGATGTTTCTCAGAACGCTGCAGTCTGCAATTTGTATGAATTCCCGCTTCCAACGAAATCCTCAAAACTAGCCAAATATCCACTTGCAGATTCCACAAAAAGACCATTTCAAAACTGCTCTATCAAAAGAAAGGTTCAACTTTGTTAGTTGAGTAGATACAGCATAAACAAGTTTCTGAGAATGCTTCTGTCCAGTTTTTATGGGAAGATATTTCCTTTTTCACCTTAGCCCTGAAATCGCTCCAAAAGTCCAGTTCCAGATACTACGAAAGGGGTGTTTCAGGACTGCTCTATGAAAGGGAGTGTTCAACTTTTGACTTGAATGCAAACATCAGAAAGCAGTTTCTCAGAACGCTGCTGTGTGCTTTTTATATATATTCCCGCTTCCAGCGAAATCCCCAAAGCTAGCCAAATATCCACTTGCAGATTCCAGAAAAAGAGTGTTTCCAAACTGCTCCTTCAAAACGGTGGTTCAATTCTCATAGTTGAGTACACACATCTCAAATAAGTTTTTGGGAATGCTTCTGTCTAGTTGTTATGGGAAGATATTTCCTTTTCCAACATAGGCCTGAAAGCGCTCCAAATGTCCACTTCCAGATACTACAAAAGGAGTGATTCAAACCTGCTCTATGATAGGGAATGTTCAACTCTGTGTCCTGAATACAAACATCACAAAGATGTTTCTCAGAACGCTGCAGTCTGCAATTTGTATGAATTCCCACTTCCAACGAAATCCTCAAAACTAGCCAAATATCCACTTGCAGATTCCACAAAAAGAGCGTTTCAAAACTTCTCTATGAAAAGAAAGGTTCTACTCCTTTAGTTGAGGACACACATCACGAGTAAGTTTCTGAGAATGCTTCTGTCTAGTTTTTATGGGAAGATATTTCCTTTTTCACCTTAGGCCGGAAAGTGCTCCAAATGTCCACTTACACACACTACAAAAAGAGTGTTTCAAACCTGCTCTGTGAAAGGGAATGTTCAATTCTGTGACTTGAATGCAATCATCACAAAGAACTTTCTGAGAATGCTGCTGTCTGCTTTTTATATGTAATCCCGTTTCCAACGAAATCCTCAAATCTAGCCAAATAGCCACTTGCAGATTCCACAAAAAGAGTGTTTCAAAACTGTTCTGTCTAAAGAAATGTTCAACTGTGTTAGTTGAGGACACACATCAGAAACTAGTTTCTGAGAATGCTTCTGTCTAGTTGTTATGGGAAGATATTTCCTTTTCCAACGTAGGCCTGAAAGCGCTCCAAATGTCCACTTCCATATACTAAAAAAAGAGTGTTTCAAACCTGCTCTACCAAAGGGAATGTTCTACTCTGTGACATGAATGCAAACATCCCAAAGAAGTTTCTGAGAATGCTTCTGTCTAGATTTGATCTGAAGACAATCCCGTTTCCAACGAAATCCTCAAGGCTAGGCAAATATCCTCTTGCAGATTCCAGAAAAAGAGTGTTTCAAAACTGCTCCTTCAAAACGGTGGTTCAATTCTCTTAGTTGAGTACACACATCTCAAATAAGTTTCTGAGAATGCTTCTGCCTAGTTGTTACGGGAAGATATTTCCCTTTCCAACATAGGCCTGAAAGCGCTCCAAATGTCCACTTCCAGATACTACAAAAAGAGTGTTTCAAACCTGCTCTACCAAAGGGAATGTTCTGCTCTGTGACTTGAATGCAAACATCCCAAAGAAGTTTCTGAGAATGCTTCTGTCTAGATTTTACCTGAAGACAATCCCGTTTCCCACGAAATCCTCAAAGCTATGCAAATATCCTCTTGCAGATTCTACAAAAAGAGTGTTTCAAAACTGCTCTATGAAAAGAAAGGTTCAACTCTGTCAGTAGAGGGCACACATCACAAACAAGTTTCTGAGAATGCTTGTGTCTAGTTGTTATGGGAAGATATTTCCTTTTTCAACATAGGCCTGAAAGCGCTCCAAATGTCCACTTCCAGATACTACAAAAGGAGTGATTCCAACCTGCTCTATGATAGGGAATGTTCAACTCTGTGTCCTGAATACAAACATCACAAAGATGTTTCTCAGAACGCTGCAGTCTGCAATTTGTATGAATTACCGCTTCCAACGAAATCCTCAAAACTAGCCAAATATCCACTTGCAGATTCCACAAAAAGAGCGTTTCAAAACTTATCTATGAAAAGAAAGGTTCTACTTCTTTAGTTGAGGACACACATCACGAGTAACTTTCTGAGAATGCTTCTGTCTAGTTTTTATGGGAAGATATTTCCTTTTTCACCTTAGGCCGGAAAGTGCTCCAAATGTCCACTTACACACACTATACAAAGAGTGTTTCAAACCTGCTCTGTGAAAGGGAATGTTCAATTCTGTGACTTGAATGCAATCATCACAAAGAAGTTTCTGAGAATGCTGCTGTCTGCTTTTTATATGTAATCCCGTTTCCAACGAAATCCTCAAATCTAGCCAAATAGCCACTTGCAGATACCACAAAAAGAGTGTTTCAAAACTGTTCTGTCTAAAGAAATGTTCAACTGTGTTAGTTGAGGACACACATCAGAAACTAGTTTCTGAGAATGCTTCTGTCTAGTTGTTATGGGAAGATATTTCCTTTTCCAACGTAGGCCTGAAAGCGCTCCAAATGTCCACTTCCATATACTAAAAAAAGAGTGTTTCAAACCTGCTCTACCAAAGGGAATGTTCTACTCTGTGACTTGAATGCAAACATCCCAAAGAAGTTTCTGAGAATGCTTCTGTCTAGATTTTATCTGAAGACAATCCCGTTTCCAACGAAATCCTCAAGGCTAGGCAAATATACTCTTGCAGATTCCAGAAAAAGAGTGTTTCAAAACTGCTCCTTCAAAACGGTGGTTCAATTCTCTTAGTTGAGTACACACATCTCAAATAAGTTTCTGAGAATGCTTCTGCCTAGTTGTTACGGGAAGATATTTCCCTTTCCAACATGGGCCTGAAAGCGCTCCAAATGTCCACTTCCAGATACTACAAAAAGAGTGTTTCAAACCTACTCTACCAAAGGGAATGTTCTCCTCTGTGACTTGAATGCAAACATCCCAAAGAAGTTTCTGAGAATGCTTCTGTCTAGATTTTACCTGAAGACAATCCCGTTTCCCACGAAATCCTCAAAGCTATGCAAATATCCTCTTGCAGATTCTACAAAAAGAGTGTTTCAAAACTGCTCTATGAAAAGAAAGGTTCAACTCTGTCAGTAGAGGGCACACATCACAAACAAGTTTCTGAGAATGCTTCTGCATAGTTGTTATGGGAAGATATTTCCCTTTCCAAAATAGGCCTGAAAGCGCTCCAAATGTCCACTTCCAGATACTACAAAAGGAGTGATTCCAACCTGCTCTAGGACAGGGAATGTTCAACTCTGTGTCCTGAATAAAAACATCACAAAGATGTTTCTCAGAACGCTGCAGTCTGCAATTTGTATGAATTACCGCTTCCAACGAAATCCTCAAAACTAGCCAAATATCCACTTGCAGATTCCACAAAAAGACCATTTCAAAACTGCTCTATCAAAAGAAAGGTTCAACTTTGTTAGTTGAGTAGATACAGCATAAACAAGTTTCTGAGAATGCTTCTGTCCAGTTTTTATGGGAAGATATTTCCTTTTTCACCTTAGCCCTGAAATCGCTCCAAAAGTCCAGTTCCAGATACTACAAAAGGGGTGTTTCAAGACTGCTCTATGAAAGGGAGTGTTCAACTTTTGACTTGAATGCAAACATCAGAAAGCAGTTTCTCAGAACGCTGCTTTGTGCTTTTTATATGTATTCCCGCTTCCAGCGAAATCCCCAAAGCTAGCCAAATATCCACTTGCAGATTCCAGAAAAAGAGAGTTTCAAAACTGCTCCTTCAAAACGGTGGTTCAATTCTCTTAGTTGAGTACACACATCTCAAATAAGTTTCTGAAAATGCTTGTGTCTAGTTGTTATGGGAAGATATTTCCTTTTTCAACGTAGGCCTGAAAGCGCTCCAAATGTCCACTTCCAGATACTACAAAAGGAGTGATTCCAACCTGCTCTATGATAGGGAATGTTCATCTCTGTGTCCTGAATACAAACATCACAAAGATGTTTCTCAGAACGCTGCAGTTTGCAATTTGTATGAATTCCCGCTTCCAACGAAATCCTCAAAACTAGCCAAATATCCACTTGCAGATTCCACAAAAAGAGCGTTTCAAAACTTCTCTATGAAAAGAAAGGTTCTACTCCTTTAGTTGAGGACACACATCACGAGTAAGTTTCTGAGAATGCTTCTGTCTAGTTTTTATGGGAAGATATTTCCTTGTTCACCTTAGGCCGGAAAGGGCTCCAAATGTCCACTTACACACACTACAAAAAGAGTGTTTCAAACCTGCTCTGTGAAAGGGAATGTTCAATTCTGTGACTTGAATGCAATCATCACAAAGAAGTTTCTGAGAATGCTGCTGACTGCTTTTTATATGTAATCCCGTTTCCAACGAAATCCTCAAATCTAGCCCAATATCCACTTGCAGATTCCACAAAAAGAGTGTTTCAAAACTGTTCTGTCTAAAGAAATGTACAACTGTGTTAGTTGAGGACACACATCAGAAACTAGTTTCTGAGAATGCTTCTGTCTAGTTGTTATGGGAAGATATTTCCTTTTCCAACGTAGGCCTGAAAGCGCTCCAAATGTCCACTTCCATATACTAAAAAAAGAGTGTTTCAAACCTGCTCTACCAAAGGGAATGTTCTACTCTGTGACTTGAATGCAAACATCCCAAAGAAGTTTCTGAGAATGCTTCTGTCTAGATTGGATCTGAAGACAATCCCGTTTCCAACGAAATCCTCAAATCTATGCAAATATCCTCTTGCAGATTCCAGAAAAAGAGTGTTTCAAAACTGCTCCTTCAAAACGGTGGTTCAATTCTCTTAGTTGAGTACACACATCTCAAATAAGTTTCTGAGAATGCTTTCTGCCTAGTTGTTACGGGAAGATATTTCCCTTTCCAACATAGGCCTGAAAGCGCTCCAAATGTCCACTTCCAGATACTACAAAAAGAGTGTTTCAAACCTGCTCCTTCAAAACGGTGGTTCAATTCTCTTAGTTCAGTACACACATCTCAAATAAGTTTCTGAGAATGCTTCTGCCTAGTTGTTACGGGAAGATATTTCCCTTTCCAACATAGGCCTGAAAGCGCTCCAAATGTCCACTTCCAGATACTACAAAAAGAGTGTTTCAAACCTGCTCTACCAAAGGGAATGTTCTACTCTGTGACTTGAATGCAAACATCCCGAAGAATTTTCTGAGAATGCTTCTGTCTAGATTTTACCTGAAGACAATCCCGTTTCCCACGAAATCCTCAAAGCTATGCAAATATCCTCTTGCAGATTCTACAAAAAGAGTGTTTCGAAACTGCTCTATGAAAAGAATGGTTCAACTCTGTCAGTAGAGGGCACACATCACAAACAAGTTTCTGAGAATGCTTGTGTCTAGTTGTTATGGGAAGATATTTCCTTTTTCAACATAGGCCTGAAAGCGCTCCAAATGTCCACTTCCAGATACTACAAAAGGAGTGATTCCAACCTGCTCTATCATAGGGAATGTTCATCTCTGTGTCCTGAATACAAACATCACAAAGATGTTTCTCAGAACGCTGCAGTCTGCAATTTGTATGTATTCCAGCTTCCAACGAAATCCTCAAATCTAGCCAAATATCCACTTGTAGATTCCACAAAAAGAGCATTTCAAAACTGCTCTATCAAAAGAAAGGTTCAACTTTTTTAGTAGAGTAGATACAGCATAAACAAGTTTCTGAGAATGCTTCTGTCCAGTTTTTATGGGAAGATATTTCCTTTTTCACCTTAGCCCTGAAAGCGCTCCAAAAGTCCAGTTCCAGATACTACAAAAGGAGTGTTTCAGGACTGCTCTATGAAAGGGAGTGTTCAACTTTTGACTTGAATGCAAACATCAGAAAGCAGTTTCTCAGAACGCTGCTGTGTGCTTTTTATATGTATTCCCGCTTCCAGCGAAATCCCCAAAGCTAGCCAAATATCCACTTGCAGATTCCAGAAAAAGAGTGTTTCAAAACTGCTCCTTCAAAACGGTGGTTCAATTCTCTTAGTTGAGTACACACATCTCAAATAAGTTTCTGAGAATGCTTGTGTCTAGTTGTTATGGGAAGATATTTCCTTTTTCAACATAGGCCTGAAAGCGCTCCAAATGTCCACTTCCAGATACTACAAAAGGAGTGATTCCAACATGCTCTATGATAGGGAATGTTCATCTCTGTGTCCTGAATACAAACATCACAAAGATGTTTCTCAGAACGCTGCAGTCTGCAATTTGTGTGAATTCCCGCTTCCAACGAAATCCTCAAAACTAGCCAAATATCCACTTGGAGATTCCACAAAAAGAGCGTTTCAAAACTTCTCTATGAATAGAAAGGTTCTACTCCTTTAGTTGAGGACACACATCACGATTAAGTTTCTGAGAATGCTTCTGTCTAATTTTTATGGGAAGATATGTCCTTTTTCACCTTAGGCCGGAAAGCGCTCCAAATGTCCACTTACACACACTACAAAAAGAGTGTTTCAAACCTGCTCTGTGAAAGGGAATGTTCAATTCTGTGACTTGAATGCAATCATCACAAAGAACTTTCTGAGAATGCTGCTGTCTGCTTTTTATATGTAATCCCGTTTCCAACGAAATCCTCAAATCTAGCCCAATATCCACTTGCAGATTCCACAAAAAGAGTGTTTCAAAACTGTCCTGTCTAAAGAAAAGTTCAACTGTGTTAGTTGAGGACACACATCAGAAACTAGTTTCTGAGAATGCTTCTGTCTAGTTGTTATGGGAAGATATTTCCTTTTCCAACGTAGGCCTGAAAGCGCTCCAAATGTCCACTTCCATATACTAAAAAAAGAGTGTTTCAAACCTGCTCTACCAAAGGGAATGTTCTACTCTGTGACTTGAATGCAAACATCCCAAAGAAGTTTCTGAGAATGCTTCTGTCTAGATTTTATCTGAAGACAATCCCGTTTCCAACGAAATCCTCAAGGCTAGGCAAATATACTCTTGCAGATTCCAGAAAAAGAGTGTTTCAAAACTGCTCCTTCAAAACGGTGGTTCAATTCTCTTCGTTGAGTCCACACATCTCAAATAAGTTTCTGAGAATGCTTCTGTCTAGTTGTTATGGGAAGATATTTCCTTTTCCAACGTAGGCCTGAAAGCGCTCCAAATGTCCACTTCCATATACGAAAAAAAGAGTGTTTCAAACCTGCTCTACCAAAGGGAATCTTCTACTCTGTGACTTGAATGCAAACATCCCAAAGAAGTTTCTGAGAATGCTTCTGTCTAGATTTTTCCTGACGACAATCCCGTTTCCCACGAAATCCTCAAAGCTATGCAAATATCCTCTTGCAGATTCTACAAAAAGAGTGTTTCAAAACTGCTCTATGAAAAGAAAGGTTCAACTCTGTCAGTAGAGGGCACACATCACAAACAAGTTTCTGAGAATGCTTCTGCATAGTTGTTACGGGAAGATATTTCCCTTTCCAAAATAGGCCTGAAAGCGCTCCAAATGTCCACTTCCAGATACTACAAAAGGAGTGATTCCAACCTGCTCTATGATAGGGAATGTTCAACTCTCTGTCCTGAATACAAACATCACAAAGATGTTTCTCAGAACGCTGCAGTCTGCAATTTGCATGAATTCCAGCTTCCAACGAAATCCTCAAAACTAGCCAAATATCCACTTGCAGATTCCACAAAAAGAGCATTTCAAAACTGCTCTATCAAAAGAAAGGTTCAACTTTGTTAGTAGAGTAGATACAGCATAAACAAGTTTCTGAGAATGCTTCTGTCCAGTTTTTATGGGAAGATATTTCCTTTTTCACCTTAGCCCTGAAAGCGCTCCAAATGTCCAGTTCCAGATACTACAAAAGGGGTGTTTCAAGACTGCTCTATGAAAGGGAGTGTTCAACTTTTGACTTGAATGCAAACATCAGAAAGCAGTTTCTCAGAACGCTGCTGTGTGTTTTTTATATGTATTCCCGCTTCCAGCGAAATCCCCAAAGCTAGCCAAATATCCACTTGCAGATTCCAGAAAAAGAGCGTTTCAAAACTGCTCCTTGAAAACGGTGGTTCAATTCTCTTAGTTGAGTACACCCATCTCAAATAAGTTTCTGAGAATGCTTCTGTCTAGTTGTTATGGGAAGATATTTCCTTTTCCAACATAGGCCTGAAAGCACTCCAAATGTCCACTTCCAGATACTACAAAAGGAGTGATTCCAACCTGCTCTATGATAGGGAATGTTCAACTCTGTGTCCTGAATACAAACATCACAAAGATGTTTCTCAGAACGCTGCAGTCTGCAATTTGTATGAATTCCCGCTTCCAACGAAATCCTCCAAACTAGCCAAATATCCACTTGCAGATTCCACAAAAAGAGCGTTTCAAAACTTCTCTATGAAAAGAAAGGTTCTACTCCTTTAGTTGAGGACACACATCACGAGTAAGTTTCTGAGAATGCTTCTGTCTAGTTTTTATGGGAAGATATTTCCTTTTTCACCTTAGGCCGGAAAGTGCTCCAAATGTCCACTTACACACACTATAAAAAGAGTGTTTCAAACCTGCTCTGTGAAAGGGAATGTTCAATTCTGTGACTTGAATGCAATCATCACAAAGAACTTTCTGAGAATGCTGCTGTCTGCTTTTTATATGTAATCCCGTTTCCAACGAAATCCTCAAATCTAGCCAAATAGCCACTTGCAGATTCCACAAAAAGAGTGTTTCAAAACTGTTCTGTCTAAAGAAATGTTCAACTGTGTTAGTTGAGGACACACATCAGAAACTAGTTTCTGAGAATGCTTCTGTCTAGTTGTTATGGGAAGATATTTCCTTTTCCAACGTAGGCCTGAAAGCGCTCCAAATGTCCACTTCCATATACTAAAAAAAGAGTGTTTCAAACCTGCTCTACCAAAGGGAATGTTCTACTCTGTGACTTGAATGCAAACATCCCAAAGAAGTTTCTGAGAATGCTTCTGTCTAGATTTGATCTGAAGACAATCCCGTTTCCAACGAAATCCTCAAGGCTAGGCAAATATCCTCTTGCAGATTCCAGAAAAAGAGTGTTTCAAAACTGCTCCTTCAAAACGGTGGTTCAATTCTCTTAGTTGAGTACACACATCTCAAATAAGTTTCTGAGAATGCTTCTGCCTAGTTGTTACGGGAAGATATTTCCCTTTCCAACATAGGCCTGAAAGCGCTCCAAATGTCCACTTCCAGATACTACAAAAAGAGTGTTTCAAACCTGCTCTACCAAAGGGAATGTTCTACTCTGTGACTTGAATGCAAACATCCCAAAGAAGTTTCTGAGAATGCTTCTGTCTAGATTTTACCTGAAGACAATCCCGTTTCCCACGAAATCCTCAAAGCTATGCAAATATCCTCTTGCAGATTCTACAAAAAGAGTGTTTCAAAACTGCTCTATGAAAAGAAAGGTTCAACTCTGTCAGTAGAGGGCACACATCACAAACAAGTTTCTGAGAATGCTTCTGTCTAGTTGTTATGGGAAGATATTTCCTTTTCCAACATAGGCCTGAAAGCGCTCCAAATGTCCACTTCCAGATACTACAAAAGGAGTGATTCCAACCTGCTCTATGATAGGGAATGTTCAACTCTCTGTCCTGAATACAAACATCACAAAGATGTTTCTCAGAACGCTGCAGTCTGCAATTTGTATGAATTCCCGCTTCCAACGAAATCCTCAAAACTAGCCAAATATCCACTTGCAGATTCCACAAAAAGAGCATTTCAAAACTGCTCTATCAAAAGAAAGGTTCAACTTTGTTAGTTGAGTAGATACAGCATAAACAAGTTTCTGAGAATGCTTCTGTCCAGTTTTTATGGGAAGATATTTCCTTTTTCACCTTAGCCCTGAAAGCACTCCAAATGTCCACTTCCAGATACCACAAAAGGGGAGTTTCAAGACTGCTGTATGAAAGGGAGTGTTCAACTTTTGACTTGAATGCGAACATCAGAAAGAACTTTCTGAGAATTCTGCTGTGTGCTTTTTATATGTATTCCCGCTTCCAGCGAAATCCCCAAAGCTAGCCAAATATCCACTTGCAGATTCCAGAAAAAGAGTGTTTCAAAACTGCTTCTTCAAAACGGTGGTTCAATTCTCTTAGTTGAGTACACACATCTCAAATAAGTTTCTGAGAATGCTTCTGTCTAGTTGTTATGGGAAGATATTTCCTTTTCCAACATAGGCCTGAAAGCGCTCCAAATGTCCACTTCCAGATACTACAAAAGGAGTGATTCAAACCTGCTCTATGATAGGGAATGTTCAACTCTGTGTCCTGAATACAAACATCACAAAGATGTTTCTCAGAACGCTGCAGTCTGCAATTTGTATGAATTCCCGCTTCCAACGAAATCCTCAAAACTAGCCAAATATCCACTTGCAGATTCCACAAAAAGAGCGTTTCAAAACTTCTCTATGAAAACAAAGGTTCTACTCCTTTAGTTGAGGACACACATCACGAGTAAGTTTCTGAGAATGCTTCTGTCTAGTTTTTATGGGAAGATATTCCCTTCTTCACCTTAGGCCAGAAAGTGCTCCAAATGTCCACTTACACACACTACAAAAAGAGAGTTTCAAACCTGCTCTGTGAAAGGGAATGTTCAATTCTGTGACTTGAATGCAATCATCACAAAGAACTTTCTGAGAATGCTGCTGTCTGCTTTTTATATGTAATCCCGTTTCCAACGAAATCCTCAAATCTAGCCAAATAGCCACTTGCAGATTCCACAAAAAGAGTGTTTCAAAACTGTTCTGTCTAAAGAAATGTTCAACTGTGTTAGTTGAGGAAACACATCAGAAACTAGTTTCTGAGAATGCTTCTGTCTAGTTGTTATGGGAAGATATATCCTTTTCCAACGTAGGCCTGAAAGCGCTCCAAATGTCCACTTCCATATACTAAAAAAAGAGTGTTTCAAACCTGCTCTACCAAAGGGAATGTTCTACTCTGTGACTTGAATGCAAACATCCCAAAGAAGTTTCTGAGAATGCTTCTGTCTAGATTTGATCTAAAGACAATCCCGTTTCCAACGAAATCCTCAAGGCTAGGCAAATATCCTCTTGCAGATTCCAGAAAAAGAGTGTTTCAAAACTGCTCCTTCAAAACGGTGATTCAATTCTCTTAGTTGAGTACACACATCTCAAATAAGTTTCTGAGAATGCTTCTGCCTAGTTGTTACGGGAAGATATTTCCCTTTCCAACATAGGCCTGAAAGCGCTCCAAATGTCCACTTCCAGATAATACAAAAAGAGTGTTTCAAACCTGCTCTACCAAAGGGAATGTTCTACTCTGTGACTTGAATGCAAACATCCCAAAGAAGTTTATCAGAATGCTTCTGTCTAGATTTTACCTGAAGACAATCCCGTTTCCCACGAAATCCTCAAAGCTATGCAAATATCCTCTTGCAGATTCTACAAAAAGAGTGTTTCGAAACTGCTCTATGAAAAGAAAGGTTCAACTCTGTCAGTAGAGGGCACACATCAAAAATAAGTTTCTGAGAATGCTTCTGTCTAGTTGTTATGGGAAGATATTTCCTTTTCCAACATAGGCCTGAAAGCGCTCCAAATGTCCACTTCCAGATACTACAAAAGGAGTGATTCAAACCTGCTCTATGATAGGGAATGTTCAACTCTGTGTCCTGAATACAAACATCACAAAGATGTTTCTCAGAACGCTGCAGTCTGCAATTTGTATGAATTCCCGCTTCCAACGAAATCCTCAAAACTAGCCAATTATCCACTCGCAGATTCCACAAAAAGAGCGTTTCAAAACTTCTCTATGAAAAGAAAGGTTCTACTCCTTTAGTTGAGGACACACATCACGAGTAAGTTTCTGAGAATGCTTCTGTCTAGTTTTTATGGGAAGATATTTCCTTTTTCACCTTAGGCCGGAAAGCGCTCCAAATGTCCACTTACACACACTACAAAAAGAGTGTTTCAAACCTGCTCTGTGAAAGGCAATGTTCAATTCTGTGACTTGAATGCAATCATCACAAAGAACTTTCTGAGAATGCTGCTGTCTGCTTTTTATATGTAATCCCGTTTCCAACGAAATCCTCAAATCTAGCCAAATATCCACTTGCAGATTCCACAAAAAGAGTGTTTCAAAACTGTTCTGTCTAAAGAAAAGTTCAACTGTGTTAGTTGAGGACACACATCAGAAACTAGTTTCTGAGAATGCTTCTGCCTAGTTGTTACGGGAAGATATTTCCCTTTCCAACATGGGCCTGAAAGCGCTCCAAATGTCCACTTCCAGATACTACAAAAAAAGGGTTTCAAACCTGCTCTACCAAAGGGAATGTTCTACTCTGTGACTTGAATGCAAACATCCCAAAGAAGTTTCTGAGAATGCTTCTGTCTAGATTTTACCTGAAGACAATCCCGTTTCCCACGAAATCCTCAAAGCTATGCAAATATCCTCTTGCAGATTCTACAAAAAGAGTGTTTCAAAACTGCTCTATGAAAAGAAAGGTTCAACTCTGTCAGTAGAGGGCACACATCACAAACAAGTTTCTGAGAATGCTTGTGTCTAGTTGTTATGGGAAGATATTTCCTTTTTCAACATAGGCCTGAAAGCGCTCCAAATGTCCACTTCCAGATACTACAAAAGGAGTGATTCCAACCTGCTCTATGATAGGGAATGTTCAACTCTCTGTCCTGAATACAAACATCACAAAGATGTTTCTCAGAACGCTGCAGTCTGCAATTTGTATGAATTCCCGCTTCCAGCGAAATCCTCAAAACTAGCCAAATATCCACTTGCAGATTCCACAAAAAGAGCATTTCAAAACTGCTCTATCAAAAGAAAGGTTCAACTTTGTTAGTTGAGTAGATACAGCATAAACAAGTTTCTGAGAATGCTTCTGTCCAGTTTTTATGGGAAGATATTTCCTTTTTCACCTTAGCCCTGAAAGCGCTCCAAAAGTCCAGTTCCAGATACTACAAAAGGAGTGTTTCAGGACTGCTCTATAAATGGGAGTGTTCAACTTTTGACTTGAATGCAAACATCAGAAAGCAGTTTCTCAGAACGCTGCTGTGTGCTTTTTATATGTATTCCCGCTTCCAGCGAAATCCACAAAGCTAGCCAAATATCCACTTGCAGATTCCAGAAAAAGAGTGTTTCAAAACTGCTCCTTCAAAACGGTGGTTCAATTCTCTTAGTTGAGTACACACATCTCAAATAAGTTTCTGAGAATGCTTCTGTCTAGTTGTTATGGGAAGATATTTCCTTTTCCAACATAGGCCTGAAAGCGCTCCAAATGTCCACTTCCAGATACTACAAAAGGAGTGATTCCAACCTGCTCTATGATAGGGAATGTTCAACTCTGTGTCCTGAATACAAACATCACAAAGATGTTTCTCAGAACGCTGCAGTCTGCAATTTGTATGAATTCCCGCTTCCAACGAAATCCTCCAAACTAGCCAAATATCCACTTGCAGATTCCACAAAAAGAGCGTTTCAAAACTTCTCTATGAAAACAAAGGTTCTACTCCTTTAGTTGAGGACACACATCACGAGTAAGTTTCTGAGAATGCTTCTGTCTAGTTTTTATGGGAAGATATTTCCTTTTTCACCTTAGGCCGGAAAGTGCTCCAAATGTCCACTTAGACACACTATAAAAAGAGTGTTTCAAACCTGCTCTGTGAAAGGGAATGTTCAATTCTGTGACTTGAATGCAATCATCACAAAGAACTTTCTGAGAATGCTGCTGTCTGCTTTTTATATGTAATCCCGTTTCCAACGAAATCCTCAAATCTAGCCAAATAGCCACTTGCAGATTCCACAAAAAGAGAGTTTCAAAACTGTTCTGTCTAAAGAAATGTTCAACTGTGTTAGTTGAGGACACACATCAGAAACTAGTTTCTGAGAATGCTTCTGTCTAGTTGTTATGGGAAGATATTTCCTTTTCCAACGTAGGCCTGAAAGCGCTCCAAATGTCCACTTCCATATACTAAAAAAAGAGTGTTTCAAACCTGCTCTACCAAAGGGAATGTTCTACTCTGTGACTTGAATGCAAACATCCCAAAGAAGTTTCTGAGAATGCTTCTGTCTAGATTTGATCTGAAGACAATCCCGTTTCCAACGAAATCCTCAAGGCTAGGCAAATATCCTCTTGCAGATTCCAGAAAAAGAGTGTTTCAAAACTGCTCCTTCAAAACGGTGGTTCAATTCTCTTAGTTGAGTACACACATCTCAAATAAGTTTCTGAGAATGCTTCTGCCTAGTTGTTACGGGAAGATATTTCCCTTTCCAACATAGGCCTGAAAGCGCTCCAAATGTCCACTTCCAGATACTACAAAAAGAGTGTTTCAAACCTGCTCTACCAAAGGGAATGTTCTGCTCTGTGACTTGAATGCAAACATCCCAAAGAAGTTTCTGAGAATGCTTCTGTCTAGATTTTACCTGAAGACAATCCCGTTTCCCACGAAATCCTCAAAGCTATGCAAATATCCTCTTGCAGATTCTACAAAAAGAGTGTTTCAAAACTGCTCTATGAAAAGAAAGGTTCAACTCTGTCAGTAGAGGGCACACATCACAAACAAGTTTCTGAGAATGCTTGTGTCTAGTTGTTATGGGAAGATATTTCCTTTTTCAACATAGGCCTGAAAGCGCTCCAAATGTCCACTTCCAGATACTACAAAAGGAGTGATTCCAACCTGCTCTATGATAGGGAATGTTCAACTCTCTGTCCTGAATACAAACATCACAAAGATGTTTCTCAGAACGCTGCAGTCTGCAATTTGTATGAATTCCCGCTTCCAACGAAATCCTCAAAACTAGCCAAATATCCACTTGCAGATTCCACAAAAAGACCATTTCAAAACTGCTCTATCAAAAGAAAGGTTCAACTTTGTTAGTTGAGTAGATACAGCATAACCAAGTTTCTGAGAATGCTTCTGTCCAGTTTTTATGGGAAGATATTTCCTTTTTCACCTTAGCCCTGAAATCGCTCCAAAAGTCCAGTTCCAGATACTACAAAAGGGGTGTTTCAAGACTGCTCTATGAAAGGGAGTGTTCAACTTTTGACTTGAATGCAAACATCAGAAAGCAGTTTCTCAGAACGCTGCTGTGTGCTTTTTATATGTATTCCCGCTTCCAGCGAAATCCCCAAAGCTAGCCAAATATCCACTTGCAGATTCCAGAAAAAGAGAGTTTCAAAACTGCTCCTTCAAAACGGTGGTTCAATTCTCTTAGTTGAGTACACACATCTCAAATAAGTTTCTGAGAATGCTTCTGTCTAGTTGTTATGGGAAGATATTTCCTTTTCCAACATAGGCCTGAAAGCGCTCCAAATGTCCACTTCCAGATACTACAAAAGGAGTGATTCCAACCTGCTCTATGATAGGGAATGTTCAACTCTGTGTCCTGAATACAAACATCACAAAGATGTTTCTCAGAACGCTGCAGTCTGCAATTTGTATGAATTCCCGCTTCCAACGAAATCCTCAAAACTAGCCAAATATCCACTTGCAGATTCCACAAAAAGACCATTTCAAAACTGCTCTATCAAAAGAAAGGTTCAACTTTGTTAGTTGAGTAGATACAGCATAAACAAGTTTCTGAGAATGCTTCTGTCCAGTTTTTATGGGAAGATATTTCCTTTTTCACCTTAGCCCTAAAATCGCTCCAAAAGTCCAGTTCCAGATACTACAAAAGGGGTGTTTCAAGACTGCTCTATGAAAGGGAGTGTTCAACTTTTGACTTGAATGCAAACATCAGAAAGCAGTTTCTCAGAACGCTGCTGTGTGCTTTTTATATGTATTCCCGCTTCCAGCGAAATCCCCAAAGCTAGCCAAATATCCACTTGCAGATTCCAGAAAAAGGGTGTTTCAAAACTGCTCCTTCAAAACGGTGGTTCAATTCTCTTAGTTGAGTAGACACATCTCAAATAAGTTTCTGAGAATGCTTCTGTCTAGTTGTTATGGGAAGATATTTCCTTTTCCAACATAGGCCTGAAAGCGCTCCAAATGTCCACTTCCAGATACTACAAAAGGAGTGATTCAAACCTGCTCTATGATAGGGAATGTTCAACTCTGTGTCCTGAATACAAACATCACAAAGATGTTTCTCAGAACGCTGCAGTCTGCAATTTGTATGAATTCCCGCTTCCAACGAAATCCTCAAAACTAGCCAAATATCCACTTGCAGATTCCACAAAAAGAGCGTTTCAAAACTTCTCTATGAAAAGAAAGGTTCTACTCCTTTAGTTGAGGACACACATCACGAGTAAGTTTGCTGAGAATGCTTTCTGTCTAGTTTTTATGGGAAGATATGTCCTTTTTCACCTTAGGCCGGAAAGCGCTCCAAATGTCCACTTACACACACTACAAAAAGAGTGTTTCAAACCTGCTCTGTGAAAGGGAATGTTCAATTCTGTGACTTGAATGCAATCATCACAAAGAACTTTCTGAGAATGCTGCTGACTGCTTTTTATATGTAATCCCGTTTCCAACGAAATCCTCAAATCTAGCCCAATATCCACTTGCAGATTCCACAAAAAGAGTGTTTCAAAACTGTTCTGTATAAAGAAATGTACAACTGTGTTAGTTGAGGACACACATCAGAAACTAGTTTCTGAGAATGCTTCTGTCTAGTTGTTATGGGAAGATATTTCCTTTTCCAACGTAGGCCTGAAAGCGCTCAAAATGTCCACTTCCATATACTAAAAAAAGAGTGTTTCAAACCTGCTCTACCAAAGGGAATGTTCTACTCTGTGACTTGAATGCAAACATCTCAAAGAAGTTTCTGAGAATGCTTCTGTCTAGATTTTGTCTGAAGACAATCCCGTTTCCAACGAAATCCTCAAGGCTAGGCAAATATACTCTTGCAGATTCCAGAAAAAGAGTGTTTCAAAACTGCTCCTTCAAAACGGTGGTTCAGTTCTCTTACTTGAGTACACACATCTCAAATAAGTTTCTGAGAATGCTTCTGCCTAGTTGTTACTGGAAGATATTTCCTTTTCCAACATGGGCCTGAAAGCGCTCCAAATGTCCACTTCCAGATACTACAAAAAGAGTGTTTCAAACCTGCTCTACCAAAGGGAATGTTCTACTCTGTGACTTGAATGCAAACATCCCAAAGAAGTTTCTGAGAATGCTTCTGTCTAGATTTTACCTGAAGACAATCCCGTTTCCCACGAAATCCTCAAAGCTATGCAAATATCCTCTTGCAGATTCTACAAAAAGAGTGTTTCAAAACTGCTCTATGAAAAGAAAGGTTCAACTCTGTCAGTAGAGGGCACACATCACAAACTAGTTTCTGAGAATGCTTCTGCATAGTTGTTACGGGAAGATATTTCCCTTTCCAAAATAGGCCTGAAAGCGCTCCAAATGTCCACTTCCAGATACTACAAAAGGAGTGATTCCAACCTGCTCTATGATAGGGAATGTTCAACTCTGTGTCCTGAATACAAACATCACAAAGATGTTTCTCAGAACGCTGCAGTCTGCAATTTGTATGAATTCCCCCTTCCAACGAAATCCTCAAAACTAACCAAATATCCACTTGCAGACTCCACAAAAAGAGCATTTCAAAACTGCTCTATCAAAAGAAAGGTTCAACTTTGTTAGCTGAGTAGATACAGCATAAACAAGTTTCTGAGAATGCTTCTGTCCAGTTTTTATGGGAAGATATTTCCTTTTTCACCTTAGCCCTGAAAGCACTCCAAATGTCCACTTCCAGATACCACAAAAGGGGAGTTTCAAGACTGCTCTATGAAAGGGAGTGTTCAACTTTTGACTTGAATGCGAACATCAGAAAGAAGTTTCTCAGAACCCTGCTGTGTGCTTTTTATATGTATTCCCGCTTCCAGCGAAATCCCCAAAGCTAGCCAAATATCCACTTGCAGATTCCAGAAAAAGAGTGTTTCAAAACTGCTCCTTCAAAACGGTGGTTCAATTCTCTTAGTTGAGTACACACATCTCAAATAAGTTTCTGAGAATGCTGCTGTGTGCTTTTTATATGTATTCCCGCTTCCAGCGAAATCCCCAAAGCTAGCCAAATATCCACTTGCAGATTCCAGAAAAAGAGTGTTTCAAAACTGCTCCTTCAAAACGGTGGTTCAATTCTCTTAGTTGAGTACACACATCTTCAAATAAGTTTCTGAGAATGCTTCTGTCTAGTTGTTATGGGAAGATATTTCCTTTTCCAACATAGGCCTGAAAGCGCTCCAAATGTCCACTTCCAGATACTACAAAAGGAGTGATTCAAACCTGCTCTATGATAGGGAATGTTCAACTCTGTGTCCTGAATACAAACATCAAAAAGATGTTTCTCAGAACGCTGCAGTCTGCAATTTGTATGAATTCCCGCTTCCAACGAAATCCTCAAAACTAGCCAAATATCCACTTGCAGATTCCACAAAAAGAGCGTTTCAAAACTTCTCTATGAAAAGAAAGGTTCTACTCCTTTAGTTGAGGACACACATCACGAGTAAGTTTCTGAGAATGCTTCTGTCTAGTTTTTATGGGAAGATATTTCCTTTTTCACCTTAGGCCGGTAAGTGCTCCAAATGTCCACTTACACACACTACAAAAAGAGTGTTTCAAACCTGCTCTGTGAAAGGGAATGTTCAATTCTGTGACTTGAATGCAATCATCACAAAGAACTTTCTGAGAATGCTGCTGACTGCTTTTTATATGTAATCCCGTTTCCAACGAAATCCTCAAATCTAGCCAAATAGCCACTTGCAGATTCCACAAAAAGAGTGTTTCAAAACTGTTCTGTCTAAAGAAATGTTCAACTGTGTTAGTTGAGGACACACATCAGAAACTAGTTTCTGAGAATGCTTCTGTCTAGTTGTTATGGGAAGATATTTCCTTTTCCAACGTAGGCCTGAAAGCGCTCCAAATGTCCACTTCCATATACTAAAAAAAGAGTGTTTCAAACCTGCTCTACCAAAGGGAATGTTCTACTCTGTGACTTGAATGCAAACATCCCAAAGAAGTTTCTGAGAATGCTTCTGTCTAGATTTTCTCTGAAGACAATCCCGTTTCCAACGAAATCCTCAAGGCTAGGCAAATATACTCTTGCAGATTCCAGAAAAAGAGTGTTTCAAAACTGCTCCTTCAAAACGGTGGTTCAATTCTCTTAGTTGAGTACACACATCTCAAATAAGTTTCTGAGAATGCTTCTGCCTAGTTGTTACGGGAAGATATTTCCCTTTCCAACATAGGCCTGAAAGCGCTCCAAATGTCCACTTCCAGATACTACAAAAAGAGTGTTTCAAACCTGCTCTACCAAAGGGAATGTTCTGCTCTGTGACTTGAATGCAAACATCCCAAAGAAGTTTCTGAGAATGCTTCTGTCTAGATTTTACCTGAAGACAATCCCGTTTCCCACGAAATCCTCAAAGCTATGCAAATATCCTCTTGCAGATTCTACAAAAAGAGTGTTTCAAAACTGCTCTATGAAAAGAAAGGTTCAACTCTGTCAGTAGAGGGCACACATCACAAACAAGTTTCTGAGAATGCTTCTGCATAGTTGTTACGGGAAGATATTTCCCTTTCCAAAATAGGCCTGAAAGCGCTCCAAATGTCCACTTCCAGATACTACAAAAGGAGTGATTCCAACCTGCTCTATGATAGGGAATGTTCAACTCTGTGTCCTGAATACAAACATCACAAAGATGTTTCTCAGAACGCTGCAGTCTGCAATTTGTATGAATTCCCGCTTCCAACGAAATCCTCAAAACTAGCCAAATATCCACTTGCAGATTCCACAAAAAGACCATTTCAAAACTGCTCTATCAAAAGAAAGGTTCAACTTTGTTAGTTGAGTAGATACAGCATAAACAAGTTTCTGAGAATGCTTCTGTCCAGTTTTTATGGGAAGATATTTCCTTTTTCACCTTAGCCCTGAAATCGCTCCAAAAGTCCAGTTCCAGATACTACAAAAGGGGTGTTTCAAGACTGCTCTATGAAAGGGAGTGTTCAACTTTTGACTTGAATGCAAACATCAGAAAGCAGTTTCTCAGAACGCTGCTGTGTGCTTTTTATATGTATTCCCGCTTCCAGCGAAATCCCCAAAGCTAGCCAAATATCCACTTGCAGATTCCAGAAAAAGAGAGTTTCAAAACTGCTCCTTCAAAACGGTGGTTCAATTCTCTTAGTTGAGTACACACATCTCAAATAAGTTTCTGAGAATGCTTCTGTCTAGTTGTTATGGGAAGATATTTCCTTTTCCAACATAGGCCTGAAAGCGCTCCAAATGTCCACTTCCAGATACTACAAAAGGAGTGATTCCAACCTGCTCTATGATAGGGAATGTTCAACTCTGTGTCCTGAATACAAACATCACAAAGATGTTTCTCAGAACGCTGCAGTCTGCAATTTGTATGAATTCCCGCTTCCAACGAAATCCTCCAAACTAGCCAAATATCCACTTGCAGATTCCACAAAAAGAGCGTTTCAAAACTTCTCTATGAAAAGAAAGGTTCTACTCCTTTAGTTGAGGACACACATCACGAGTAAGTTTCTGAGAATGCTTCTGTCTAGTTTTTATGGGAAGATATTTCCTTTTTCACCTTAGGCCGGAAAGTGCTCCAAATGTCCACTTACACACACTACAAAAAGAGTGTTTCAAACCTGCTCTGTGAAAGGGAATGTTCAATTCTGTGACTTGAATGCAATCATCACAAAGAACGTTCTGAGAATGCTGCTGACTGCTTTTTATATGTAATCCCGTTTCCAACGAAATCCTCAAATCTACCCCAATATCCACTTGCAGATTCCACAAAAAGAGTGTTTCAAAACTGTTCTGTCTAAAGAAATGTACAACTGTGTTAGTTGAGGACACACATCAGAAACTAGTTTCTGAGAATGCTTCTGTCTAGTTGTTATGGGAAGATATTTCCTTTTCCAACGTAGGCCTGAAAGCGCTCCAAATGTCCACTTCCATATACTAAAAAAAGAGTGTTTCAAACCTGCTCTACCAAAGGGAATGTTCTACTCTGTGACTTGAATGCAAACATCCCAAAGAAGTTTCTGAGAATGCTTCTGTCTAGATTTTATCTGAAGACAATCCCGTTTCCAACGAAAATCTCAAGGCTAGGCAAATATACTCTTGCAGATTCCAGAAAAAGAGTGTTTCAAAACTGCTCCTTCAAAACGGTGGTTCAATTCTCTTAGTTGAGTACACACATCTCAAATAAGTTTCTGAGAATGCTTCTGCCTAGTTGTTACGGGAAGATATTTCCCTTTCCAACGTGGGCCTGAAAGCGCTCCAAATGTCCACTTCCAGATACTACAAAAGGAGTGATTCCAACATGCTCTATGATAGGGAATGTTCATCTCTGTGTCTTGAATACAAACATCACAAAGATGTTTCTCAGAACGCTGCAGTCTGCAATTTGTATGAATTCCCGCTTCCAACGAAATCCTCAAAACTAGGCAAATATCCACTTGCAGATTCCACAAAAAGAGCGTTTCAAAACTTCTCTATGAAAAGAAAGGTTCTACTCCTTTAGTTGAGGACACACATCACGAGTAAGTTTCTGAGAATGCTTATCTGTCTAGTTTTTATGGGAAGATATTTCCTTTTTCACCTTAGGCCGGAAAGTGCTCCAAATGTCCACTTACACACACTACAAAAAGAGTGTTTCAAACCTGCTCTGTGAAAGGGAATGTTCAATTCTGTGACTTGAATGCAATCATCACAAAGAAGTTTCTGTGAATGCTGCTGTCTGCTTTTTATATGTAATCCCGTTTCCAACGAAATCCTCAAATCTAGCCAAATATCCACTTGCAGATTCCACAAAAAGAGTGTTTCAAAACTGTTCTGTCTAAAGAAAAGTTCATTTGTGTTAGTTGAGGACACACATCAGAAACTAGTTTCTGAGAATGCTTCTGTCTAGTTGTTATGGGAAGATATTTCCTTTTCCAACGTAGGCCTGAAAGCGCTCCAAATGTCCACTTCCATATACTAAAAAAAGAGTGTTTGAAACCTGCTCTACCAAAGGGAACGTTCTACTCTGTGACTTGAATGCAAACATCCCAAAGAAGTTTCTGAGAATGCTTCTGTCTAGATTTGATCTGAAGACAATCCCGTTTCCAACGAAATCATCAAGGCTAGGCAAATATCCTCTTGCAGATTCCAGAAAAAGAGTGTTTCAAAACTGCTCCTTCAAAACGGTGGTTCAATTCTCTTACTTGAGTACACACATCTCAAATAAGTTTCTGAGAATGCTTCTGCCTAGTTGTTACGGGAAGATATTTCCCTTTCCAACATGGGCCTGAAAGCGCTCCAAATGTCCACTTCCAGATACTACAAAAAGAGTGTTTCAAACCTGCTCTACCAAAGGGAATGTTCTACTCTGTGACTTGAATGCAAACATCCCAAAGAAGTTTCTGAGAATGCTTCTGTCTAGATTTTACCTGAAGACAATCCCGTTTCCCACGAAATCCTCAAAGCTATGCAAATATCCTCTTGCAGATTCTACAAAAAGAATGTTTTTTTTTTGTAGTGTTTCAAAACTGCTCTATGAAAAGAAAGGTTCAACTCTGTCAGTAGAGGGCACACATCACAAACAAGTTTCTGAGAATGCTTCTGCATAGTTGTTACGGGAAGATATTTCCCTTTCCAAAATAGGCCTGAAAGCGCTCCAAATGTCCACTTCCAGATACTACAAAAGGAGTGATTCCAACCTGCTCTATGATAGGGAATGTTCAACTCTGTGTCCTGAATACAAACATCACAAAGATGTTTCTCAGAACGCTGCAGTCTGCAATTTGTATGAATTCCCGCTTCCAACGAAATCCTCAAAACTAGCCAAATATCCACTTGCAGATTCCACAAAAAGACCATTTCAAAACTGCTCTATCAAAAGAAAGGTTCAACTTTGTTAGTTGAGTAGATACAGCATAACCAAGTTTCTGAGAATGCTTCTGTCCAGTTTTTATGGGAAGATATTTCCTTTTTCACCTTAGCCCTGAAATCGCTCCAAAAGTCCAGTTCCAGATACTACAAAAGGGGTGTTTCAAGACTGCTCTATGAAAGGGAGTGTTCAACTTTTGACTTGAATGCAAACATCAGAAAGCAGTTTCTCAGAACGCTGCTGTGTGCTTTTTATATGTATTCCCGCTTCCAGCGAAATCCCCAAAGCTAGCCAAATATCCACTTGCAGATTCCAGAAAAAGAGAGTTTCAAAACTGCTCCTTCAAAACGGTGGTTCAATTCTCTTAGTTGAGTACACACATCTCAAATAAGTTTCTGAGAATGCTTCTGTCTAGTTGTTATGGGAAGATATTTCCTTTTCCAACATAGGCCTGAAAGCGCTCCAAATGTCCACTTCCAGATACTACAAAAGGAGTGATTCAAACCTGCTCTATGATAGGGAATGTTCAACTCTGTGTCCTGAATACAAACATCACAAAGATGTTTCTCAGAACGCTGCAGTCTGCAATTTGTATGAATTCCCGCTTCCAACGAAATCCTCAAAACTAGCCAAATATCCACTTGCAGATTCCACAAAAAGAGCGTTTCAAAACTTCTCTATGAAAAGAAAGGTTCTACTCCTTTAGTTGAGGACACACATCACGAGTAAGTTTCTGAGAATGCTTCTGTCTAGTTTTTATGGGAAGATATTTCCTTTTTCACCTTAGGCCGGTAAGTGCTCCAAATGTCCACTTACACACACTACAAAAAGAGTGTTTCAAACCTGCTCTGTGAAAGGGAATGTTCAATTCTGTGACTTGAATGCAATCATCACAAAGAACTTTCTGAGAATGCCGCTGTCTGCTTTTTATATGTAATCCCGTTTCCAACGAAATCCTCAAATCTAGCCAAATATCCACTTGCAGATTCCACAAAGAGAGTGTTTCAAAACTGTTCTGTCTAAAGAAATGTTCAACTGTGTTAGTTGAGGACACACATCAGAAACTAGTTTCTGAGAATGCTTCTGTCTAGTTGTTATGGGAAGATATTTCCTTTTCCAACGTAGGCCTGAAAGCGCTCCAAATGTCCACTTCCATATACTAAAAAAAGAGTGTTTCAAACCTGCTCTACCAAAGGGAATGTTCTACTCTGTGACTTGAATGCAAACATCCCAAAGAAGTTTCTGAGAATGCTTCTGTCTAGATTTTATCTGAAGACAATCCCGTTTCCAACGAAATCCTCAAGGCTAGGCAAATATACTCTTGCAGATTCCAGAAAAAGAGTGTTTCAAAACTGCTCCTTCAAAACGGTGGTTCAATTCTCTTAGTTGAGTCCACACATCTCAAATAAGTTTCTGAGAATGCTTCTGCCTAGTTGTTACGGGAAGATATTTCCCTTTCCAACATGGGCCTGAAAGCGCTCCAAATGTCCACTTCCAGATACTACAAAAAGAGTGTTTCAAACCTGCTCTACCAAAGGGAATGTTCTACTCTGTGACTTGAATGCAAACATCCCAAAGAATTTTATGAGAATGCTTCTGTCTAGATTTTACCTGAAGACAATCCCGTTTCCCACGAAATCCTCAAAGCTATGCAAATATCCTCTTGCAGATTCTACAAAAAGAGTGTTTCAAAACTGCTCTATGAAAAGAAAGGTTCAACTCTGTCAGTAGAGGGCACACATCACAAACAAGTTTCTGAGAATGCTTGTGTCTAGTTGTTATGGGAAGATATTTCCTTTTTCAACATAGGCCTGAAAGCGCTCCAAATGTCCACTTCCAGATACTACAAAAGGAGTGATTCCAACCTGCTCTATGATAGGGAATGTTCATCTCTGTGTCCTGAATACAAACATCACAAAGATGTTTCTCAAAACGCTGCAGTCTGCAATTTGTATGAATTCCCGCTTCAAACGAAATCCTCAAAACTAGCCAAATATCCTCTTGGAGATTCCACAAAAAGAGCGTTTGAAAACTTCTCTATGAATAGAAAGGTTCTACTCCTTTAGTTGAGGACACACATCACGAGTAAGTTTCTGAGAATGCTTCTGTCTAGTTTTTATGGGAAGATATTTCCTTTTTCACCTTAGGCCGGTAAGTGCTCCAAATGTCCACTTACACACACTACAAAAAGAGTGTTTCAAACCTGCTCTGTGAAAGGGAATGTTCAATTCTGTGACTTGAATGCAATCATCACAAAGAACTTTCTGAGAATGCTGCTGTCTGCTTTTTATATGTAATCCCGTTTCCAACGAAATCCTCAAATCTAGCCAAATAGCCACTTGCAGATTCCACAAAAAGAGTGTTTCAAAACTGTTCTGTCTAAAGAAATGTTCAACTGTGTTAGTTGAGGACACACATCAGAAACTAGTTTCTGAGAATGCTTCTGTCTAGTTGTTATGGGAAGATATTTCCTTTTCCAACGTAGGCCTGAAAGCGCTCCAAATGTCCACTTCCATATACTAAAAAAAGAGTGTTTCAAACCTGCTCTACCAAAGGGAATGTTCTACTCTGTGACTTGAATGCAAACATCCCAAAGAAGTTTCTGAGAATGCTTCTGTCTAGATTTTATCTGAAGACAATCCCGTTTCCAACGAAATCCTCAAGGCTAGGCAAATATACTCTTGCAGATTCCAGAAAAAGAGTGTTTCAAAACTGCTCCTTCAAAACGGTGGTTCAATTCTCTTAGTTGAGTACACACATCTCAAATAAGTTTCTGAGAATGCTTCTGCCTAGTTGTTACGGGAAGATATTTCCCTTTCCAACATGGGCCTGAAAGCGCTCCAAATGTCCACTTCCAGATACTACAAAAAGAGTGTTTCAAACCTGCTCTACCAAAGGGAATGTTCTACTCTGTGACTTGAATGCAAACATCCCAAAGAAGTTTCTGAGAATGCTTCTGTCTAGATTTTATCTGAAGACAATCCCGTTTCCAACGAAATCCTCAAGGCTAGGCAAATATACTCTTGCAGATTCCAGAAAAAGAGTGTTTCAAAACTGCTCCTTCAAAACGGTGGTTCAATTCTCTTAGTTGAGTACACACATCTCAAATAAGTTTCTGAGAATGCTTCTGCCTAGTTGTTACGGGAAGATATTTCCCTTTCCAACATGGGCCTGATAGCGCTCCAAATGTCCACTTCCAGATACTACCAAAAGAGGTTTTCAAACCTGCTCTACCAAAGGGAATGTTCTACTCTGTGACTTGAATGCAAACATCCCAAAGAAGTTTCTGAGAATGCTTCTGTCTAGATTTTACCTGAAGACAATCCCGTTTCCCACGAAATCCTCAAAGCTATGCAAATATCCTCTTGCAGATTCTACAAAAAGAGTGTTTCAAAACTGCTCTATGAAAAGAAAGGTTCAACTCTGTCAGTAGAGGGCACACATCACAAACAAGTTTCTGAGAATGCTTCTGTCTAGTTGTTATGGGAAGATATTTCCTTTTTCAACATAGGCCTGAAAGCGCTCCAAATGTCCACTTCCAGATACTACAAAAGGAGTGATTCCAACCTGCTCTATGATAGGGAATGTTCAACTCTGTGTCCTGAATACAAACATTACAAAGACGTTTCTCAGAACGCTGCAGTCTGCAATTTGTATGAATTCCCGCTTCCAACGAAATCCTCAAACCTAGCCAAATATGCACTTGCAGATTCCACAAAAAGAGGATTTCAAAACTGCTCTATCAAAAGAAAGGTTCAACTTTGTTAGTTGAGTAGATACAGCATAAACAAGTTTCTGAGAATGCTTCTGTCCAGTTTTTATGGGAAGATATTTCCTTTTTCACCTTAGCCCTGAAAGCGCTCCAAATGTCCAGTTCCAGATACTACAAAAGGGGTGTTTCAAGACTGCTCTGTGAAAGGGAGTGTTCAACTTTTGACTTGAATGCAAACATCAGAAAGCAGTTTCTCAGAACGCTGCTGTGTGCTTTTTATATGTATTCCCGCTTCCCGCGAAATCCCCAAAGCTAGCCAAATATCCACTTGCAGATTCCAGAAAAAGAGTGTTTCAAAACTGCTCCTTCAAAACGGTGGTTCAATTCTCTTAGTTGAGTACACACATCTCAAATAAGTTTCTGAGAATGCTTCTGTCTAGTTGTTATGGGAAGATATTTCCTTTTTCAACATAGGCCTGAAAGCGCTCCAAATGTCCACTTCCAGATACTACAAAAGGAGTGATTCCAACCTGCTCTATGATAGGGAATGTTCAACTCTGTGTCCTGAATACAAACATCACAAAGATGTTTCTCAGAACGCTGCAGTCTGCAATTTGTATGAATTCCCGCTTCCAACGAAATCCTCAAAACTAGCCAAATATCCACTTGCAGATTCCACAAAAAGAGCGTTTCAAAACTTCTCTATGAAAAGAAAGGTTCTACTCCTTTAGTTGAGGACACACATCACGAGTAAGTTTCTGAGAATGCTTCTGTCTAGTTTTTATGGGAAGATATTTCCTTTTTCACCTTAGGCCGGTAAGTGCTCCAAATGTCCACTTACACACACTACAAAAAGAGTGTTTCAAACCTGCTCTGTGAAAGGGAATGTTCAATTCTGTGACTTGAATGCAATCATCACAAAGAACTTTCTGAGAATGCCGCTGACTGCTTTTTATATGTAATCCCGTTTCCAACGAAATCCTCAAATCTAGCCAAATAGCCACTTGCAGATTCCACAAAAAGAGTGTTTCAAAACTGTTCTGTCTAAAGAAATGTTCAACTGTGTTAGTTGAGGACACACATCAGAAACTAGTTTCTGAGAATGCTTCTGTCTAGTTGTTATGGGAAGATATTTCCTTTTCCAACGTAGGCCTGAAAGCGCTCCAAATGTCCACTTCCAGATACTACAAAAAGAGTGTTTCAAACCTGCTCTACCAAAGGGAATGTTCTACTCTGTGACTTGAATGCAAGCATCCCAAAGAAGTTTCTGAGAATGCTTCTGTCTAGATTTTATCTGAAGACAATCCCGTTTCCAACGAAATCTTCAAGGCTAGGCAAATATACTCTTGCAGATTCCAGAAAAAGAGTGTTTCAAATCTGCTCCTTCAAAACGGTGGTTCAATTCTCTTAGTTGAGTACACACATCTCAAATAAGTTTCTGAGAATGCTTCTGCCTAGTTGTTACGGGAAGATATTTCCCTTTCCAACATGGGCCTGAAAGCGCTCCAAATGTCCACTTCCAGATACTACAAAAAGAGGGTTTCAAACCTGCTCTACCAAAGGGAATGTTCTACTCTGTGACTTGAATGCAAACATCCCAAAGAAGTTTCTGAGAATGCTTCTGTCTAGATTTTACCTGAAGACAATCCCGTTTCCCACGAAATCCTCAAAGCTATGCAAATATCCTCTTGCAGATTCTACAAAAAGAGTGTTTCAAAACTGCTCTATGAAAAGAAAGGTTCAACTCTGTCAGTAGAGGGCACACATCACAAACAAGTTTCTGAGAATGCTTCTGCATAGTTGTTACGGGAAGATATTTCCCTTTCCAAAATAGGCCTGAAAGCGCTCCAAATGTCCACTTCCAGATACTACAAAAGGAGTGATTCCAACCTGCTCTATGATAGGGAATGTTCAACTCTGTGTCCTGAATACAAACATCACAAAGATGTTTCTCAGAACGCTGCAGTCTGCAATTTGTATGAATTCCCGCTTCCAACGAAATCCTCAAAACTAGCCAAATATCCACTTGCAGATTCCACAAAAAGACCATTTCAAAACTGCTCTATCAAAAGAAAGGTTCAACTTTGTTAGTTGAGTAGATACAGCATAAACAAGTTTCTGAGAATGCTTCTGTCCAGTTTTTATGGGAAGATATTTCCTTTTTCACCTTAGCCCTGAAATCGCTCCAAAAGTCCAGTTCCAGATACTACAAAAGGGGTGTTTCAGGACTGCTCTATGAAAGGGAGTGTTCAACTTTTGACTTGAATGCAAACATCAGAAAGCAGTTTCTCAGAACGCTGCTGTGTGCTTTTTATATGTATTCCCGCTTCCAGCGAAATCCCCAAAGCTAGCCAAATATCCACTTGCAGATTCCAGAAAAAGAGCGTTTCAAAACTGCTCCTTCAAAACGGTGGTTCAATTCTCTTAGTTGAGTACACACATCTCAAATAAGTTTCTGAGAATGCTTCTGTCTAGTTGTTATGGGAAGATATTTCCTTTTCCAACATAGGCCTGAAAGCGCTCCAAATGTCCACTTCCAGATACTACAAAAGGAGTGATTCAAACCTGCTCTATGATAGGGAATGTTCAACTCTGTGTCCTGAATACAAACATCACAAAGATGTTTCTCAGAACGCTGCAGTCTGCAATTTGTATGAATTCCCGCTTCCAACGAAATCCTCAAAACTAGCCAAATATCCACTTGCAGATTCCACAAAAAGAGCGTTTCAAAACTTCTCTATGAAAAGAAAGGTTCTACACCTTTAGTTGAGGACACACATCACGAGTAAGTTTACTGAGAATGCTTCTGTCTAGTTTTTATGGGAAGATTATTTCCTTTTTCACCTTAGGCCGGTAAGTGCTCCAAATGTCCACTTACACACACTACAAAAAGAGTGTTTCAAACCTGCTCTGTGAAAGGGAATGTTCAATTCTGTGACTTGAATGCAATCATCACAAAGAACTTTCTGAGAATGCTGCTGACTGCTTTTTATATGTAATCCCGTTTCCAACGAAATCCTCAAATCTAGCCAAATAGCCACTTGCAGATTCCACAAAAAGAGTGTTTCAAAACTGTTCTGTCTAAAGAAATGTTCAACTGTGTTAGTTGAGGACACACATCAGAAACTAGTTTCTGAGAATGCTTCTGTCTAGTTGTTATGGGAAGATATTTCCTTTTCCAACGTAGGCCTGAAAGCGCTCCAAATGTCCACTTCCAGATACTACGAAAAGAGTGTTTCAAACCTGCTCTACCAAAGGGAATGTTCTACTCTGTGACTTGAATGCAAGCATCCCAAAGAAGTTTCTGAGAATGCTTCTGTCTAGATTTTCTCTGAAGACAATCCCGTTTCCAACGAAATCCTCAAGGCTAGGCAAATATCCTCTTGCAGATTCCAGAAAAAGAGTGTTTCAAAACTGCTCCTTCAAAACGGTGGTTCAATTCTCTTAGTTGAGTACACACATCTCAAATAAGTTTCTGAGAATGCTTCTGCCTAGTTGTTACGGGAAGATATTTCCCTTTCCAACATGGGCCTGAAAGCGCTCCAAATGTCCACTTCCAGATACTACAAAAAGAGTGTTTCAAACCTGCTCTACCAAAGGGAATGTTCTACTCTGTGACTTGAATGCAAACATCCCAAAGAAGTTTCTGAGAATGCTTCTGTCTAGATTTTACCTGAAGACAATCCCGTTTCCCACGAAATCCTCAAGCTATGCAAATATCCTCTTGCAGATTCTACAAAAAGAGTGTTTCAAAACTGCTCTATGAAAAGAAAGGTTCAACTCTGTCAGTAGAGGGCACACATCACAAACAAGTTTCTGAGAATGCTTCTGTCTAGTTGTTATGGGAAGATATTTCCTTTTCCAACATAGGCCTGAAAGCGCTCCAAATGTCCACTTCCAGATACTACAAAAAGAGTGATTCAAACCTGCTCTATGATTGGGAATGTTCAACTCTGTGTCCTGAATACAAACATCACAAAGATGTTTCTCAGAACGCTGCAGTCTGCAATTTGTATGAATTCCCGCTTCCAACGAAATCCTCAAAACTAGCCAAATATCCACTTGCAGATTCCACAAAAAGACCATTTCAAAACTGCTCTATCAAAAGAAAGGTTCAACTTTGTTAGTTGAGTAGATACAGCATAAACAAGTTTCTGAGAATGCTTCTGTCCAGTTTTTATGGGAAGATATTTCCTTTTTCACCTTAGCCCTGAAATCGCTCCAAAAGTCCAGTTCCAGATACTACAAAAGGGGTGTTTCAGGACTGCTCTATGAAAGGGAGTGTTCAACTTTTGACTTGAATGCAAACATCAGAAAGCAGTTTCTCAGAACGCTGCTGTGTGCTTTTTATATGTATTCCCGCTTCCAGCGAAATCCCCAAAGCTAGCCAAATATCCACTTGCAGATTCCAGAAAAAGAGAGTTTCAAAACTGCTCCTTCAAAACGGTGGTTCAATTCTCTTAGTTGAGTACACACATCTCAAATAAGTTTCTGAGAATGCTTGTGTCTAGTTGTTATGGGAAGATATTTCCTTTTTCAACATAGGCCTGAAAGCGCTCCAAATGTCCACTTCCAGATACTACAAAAGGAGTGATTCCAACCTGCTCTATGATAGGGAATGTTCATCTCTGTGTCCTGAATACAAACATCACAAAGATGTTTCTCAGAACGCTGCAGTCTGCAATTTGTATGAATTCCCGCTTCCAACGAAATCCTCAAAACTAGCCAAATATCCACTTGCAGATTCCACAAAAAGAGCGTTTCAAAACTTCTCTATGAAAAGAAAGGTTCTACTCCTTTAGTTGAGGACACACATCACGAGTAAGTTTCTGAGAATGCTTCTGTCTAGTTTTTATGGGAAGATATTTCCTTTTTCACCTTAGGCCGGAAAGTGCTCCAAATGTCCACTTACACACACTACAAAAAGAGTGTTTCAAACCTGCTCTGTGAAAGGGAATGTTCAATTCTGTGACTTGAATGCAATCATCACAAAGAACTTTCTGAGACTGCTGCTGTCTGCTTTTTATATGTAATCCCGTTTCCAACGAAATCCTCAAATCTAGCCAAATATCCACTTGCAGATTCCAGAAAAAGAGTGTTTCAAAACTGCTCCTTCAAAACGGTGGTTCAATTCTCTTAGTTGAGTACACACATCTCAAATAAGTTTCTGAGAATGCTTCTGTCTAGTTGTTATGGGAAGATATTTCCTTTTCCAACATAGGCCTGAAAGCGCTCCAAATGTCCACTTCCAGATACTACAAAAGGAGTGATTCCAACCTGCTCTATGATAGGGAATGTTCAACTCTGTGTCCTGAATACAAACATCACAAAGATGTTTCTCAGAACGCTGCAGTCTGCAATTTGTATGAATTCCCGCTTCCAACGAAATCCTCAAAACTAGCCAAATATCCACTTGCAGATTCCACAAAAAGAGCGTTTCAAAACTTCTCTATGAAAACAAAGGTTCTACTCCTTTAGTTGAGGACACACATCACGAGTAAGTTTCTGAGAATGCTTCTGTCTAGTTTTTATGGGAAGATATTTCCTTTTTCACCTTAGGCCGGAAAGTGCTCCAAATGTCCACTTACACACACTACAAAAAGAGTGTTTCAAACCTGCTCTGTGAAAGGGAATGTTCAATTCTGTGACTTGAATGCAATCATCACAAAGAAATTTCTGAGAATGCTGCTGTCTGCTTTTTATATGTAATCCCGTTTCCAACGAAATCCTCAAATCTAGCCAAATAGCCACTTGCAGATTCCACAAAAAGAGAGTTTCAAAACTGTTCTGTCTAAAGAAATGTTCAACTGTGTTAGTTGAGGACACACATCAGAAACTAGTTTCTGAGAATGCTTCTGTCTAGTTGTTATGGGAAGATATTTCCTTTTCCAACGTAGGCCTGAAAGCGCTCCAAATGTCCACTTCCATATACTAAAAAAAGAGTGTTTCAAACCTGCTCTACCAAAGGGAATGTTCTACTCTGTGACTTGAATGCAAACATCCCAAAGAAGTTTCTGAGAATGCTTCTGTCTAGATTTGATCTGAAGACAATCCCGTTTCCAACGAAATCCTCAAGGCTAGGCAAATATACTCTTGCAGATTCCAGAAAAAGAGTGTTTCAAAACTGCTCCTTCAAAACGGTGGTTCAATTCTCTTAGTTGAGTACACACATCTCAAATAAGTTTCTGAGAATGCTTCTGCCTAGTTGTTACGGGAAGATATTTCCCTTTCCAACATGGGCCTGAAAGCGCTCCAAATGTCCACTTCCAGATACTACAAAAAGAGGGTTTCAAACCTGCTCTACCAAAGGGAATGTTCTACTCTGTGACTTGAATGCAAACATCCCAAAGAAGTTTCTGAGAATGCTTCTGTCTAGATTTTACCTGAAGACAATCCCGTTTCCCACGAAATCCTCAAAGCTATGCAAATATCCTCTTGCAGATTCTACAAAAAGAGTGTTTCAAAACTGCTCTATGAAAAGAAAGGTTCAACTCTGTCAGTAGAGGGCACACATCACAAACAAGTTTCTGAGAATGCTTGTGTCTAGTTGTTATGGGAAGATATTTCCTTTTTCAACATAGGCCTGAAAGCGCTCCAAATGTCCACTTCCAGATACTACAAAAGGAGTGATTCCAACCTGCTCTATGATAGGGAATGTTCATCTCTGTGTCCTGAATACAAACATCACAAAGATGTTTCTCAGAACGCTGCAGTCTGCAATTTGTATGAATTCCAGCTTCCAACGAAATCCTCAAATCTAGCCAAATATCCACTTGCAGATTCCACAAAAAGAGCATTTCAAAACTGCTCTATCAAAAGAAAGGTTCAACTTTGTTAGTAGAGTAGATACAGCATAAACAAGTTTCTGAGAATGCTTCTGTCCAGTTTTTATGGGAAGATATTTCCTTTTTCACCTTAGCCCTGAAAGCGCTCCAAAAGTCCAGTTCCAGATACTACAAAAGGAGTGTTTCAGGACTGCTCTATGAAAGGGAGTGTTCAACTTTTGACTTGAATGCAAACATCAGAAAGCAGTTTCTCAGAACGCTGCTGTGTGCTTTTTAGATGTATTCCCGCTTCCAGCGAAATCCCAAAAGCTAGCCAAATATCCACTTGCAGATTCCAGAAAAAGAGTGTTTCAAAACTGCTCCTTCAAAACGGTGGTTCAATTCTCTTAGTTGAGTACACACATCTCAAATAAGTTTCTGAGAATGCTTCTGTCTAGTTGTTATGGGAAGATATTTCCTTTTCCAACATAGGCCTGAAAGCGCTCCAAATGTCCACTTCCAGATACTACAAAAGGAGTGATTCCAACCTGCTCTATGATAGGGAATGTTCAACTCTGTGTCCTGAATACAAACATCACAAAGATGTTTCTCAGAACGCTGCAGTCTGCAATTTGTATGAATTCCCGCTTCCAACGAAATCCTCCAAACTAGCCAAATATCCACTTGCAGATTCCACAAAAAGAGCGTTTCAAAACTTCTCTATGAAAAGAAAGGTTCTACTCCTTTAGTTGAGGACACACATCACGAGTAAGTTTCTGAGAGTGCTTCTGTCTAGTTTTTATGGGAAGATATTTCCTTTTTCACCTTAGCGCCGGAAAGTGCTCCAAATGTCCACTTACACACACTACAAAAAGAGTGTTTCAAACCTGCTCTGTGAAAGGGAATGTTCAATTCTGTGACTTGAATGCAATCATCACAAAGAACTTTCTGAGAATGCTGCTGTCTGCTTTTTATATGTAATCCCGTTTCCAACGAAATCCTCAAATCTAGCCAAATAGCCACTTGCAGATTCCACAAAAAGAGTGTTTCAAAACTGTTCTGTCTAAAGAAATGTTCAACTGTGTTAGTTGAGGACACACATCAGAAACTAGTTTCTGAGAATGCTTCTGTCTAGTTGTTATGGGAAGATATTTCCTTTTCCAACGTAGACCTGAAAGCGCTCCAAATGTCCACTTCCATATACTAAAAAAAGAGTGTTTCAAACCTGCTCAACCAAAGGGAATGTTCTACTCTGTGACTTGAATGCAAACATCCCAAAGAAGTTTCTGAGAATGCTTCTGTCTAGATTTGATCTGAAGACAATCCCGTTTCCAACGAAATCCTCAAGGCTAGGCAAATATCCTCTTGCAGATTCCAGAAAAAGAGTGTTTCAAAACTGCTCCTTCAAAACGGTGGTTCAATTCTCTTAGTTGAGTACACACATCTCAAATAAGTTTCTGAGAATGCTTCTGCCTAGTTGTTACGGGAAGATATTTCCCTTTCCAACATAGGCCTGAAAGCGCTCCAAATGTCCACTTCCAGATACTACAAAAAGAGTGTTTCAAACCTGCTCTACCAAAGGGAATGTTCTACTCTGTGACTTGAATGCAAACATCCCAAAGAAGTTTCTGAGAATGCTTCTGTCTAGATTTTACCTGAAGACAATGCCGTTTCCCACGAAATCCTCAAAGCTAGGCAAATATCCTCTTGCAGATTCTACAAAAAGAGTGTTTCGAAACTGCTCTATGAAAAGAAAGGATCAACTGTGTCAGTAGAGGGCACACATCACAAACAAGTTTCTGAGAATGCTTCTGCATAGTTGTTACCGGGAAGATATTTCCCTTTCCAAAATAGGCCTGAAAGCGCTCCAAATGTCCACTTCCAGATACTACAAAAGGAGTGATTCCAACCTGCTCTATGATAGGGAATGTTCAACTCTGTGTCCTGAATACAAACATCACAAAGATGTTTCTCAGAACGCTGCAGTCTGCAATTTGTATGAATTCCCGCTTCCAACGAAATCCTCAAAACTAGCCAAATATCCACTTGCAGATTCCACAAAAAGACCATTTCAAAACTGCTCTATCAAAAGAAAGGTTCAACTTTGTTAGTTGAGTAGATACAGCATAAACAAGTTTCTGAGAATGCTTCTGTCCAGTTTTTATGGGAAGATATTTCCTTTTTCACCTTAGCCCTGAAATCGCTCCAAAAGTCCAGTTCCAGATACTACAAAAGGGGTGTTTCAAGACTGCTCTATGAAAGGGAGTGTTCAACTTTTGACTTGAATGCAAACATCAGAAAGCAGTTTGCTCAGAACGCTGTGCTGTGTGCTTTTTATATGTATTCCCGCTTCCAGCGAAATCCCCAAAGCTAGCCAAATATCCACTTGCAGATTCCAGAAAAAGAGTGTTTCAAAACTGCTCCTTCAAAACGGTGGTTCAATTCTCTTAGTTGAGTACACACATCTCAAATAAGTTTCTGAGAATGCTTCTGTCTAGTTGTTATGGGAAGATATTTCCTTTTCCAACATAGGCTTGAAAGCGCTCCAAATGTCCACTTCCAGATACTACAAAAGGAGTGATTCAAACCTGCTCTATGATAGGGAATGTTCAACTCTGTGTCCTGAATACAAACATCACAAAGATGTTTCTCAGAAAGCTGCAGTCTGCAATTTGTATGAATTCCCGCTTCCAACGAAATCCTCCAAACTAGCCAAATATCCACTTGCAGATTCCACAAAAAGAGCGTTTCAAAACTTCTCTATGAAAAGAAAGGTTCTACTCCTTTAGTTGAGGACACACATCACGAGTAAGTTTCTGAGAATGCTTCTGTCTAGTTTTTATGGGAAGATATTTCCTTTTTCACCTTAGGCCGGTAAGTGCTCCAAATGTCCACTTACACACACTACAAAAAGAGTGTTTCAAACCTGCTCTGTGAAAGGGAATGTTCAATTCAGTGACTTGAATGCAATCATCACAAAGAACTTTCTGAGAATGCTGCTGTCAGCTTTTTATATGTAATCCCGTTTCCAAAGAAATCCTCAAATCTAGCCAAATATCCACTTGCAGATTCCACAAAAAGAGTGTTTCAAAACTGTTCTGTCTAAAGAAATGTACAACTGTGTTAGTTGAGGACACACATCAGAAACTAGTTTCTGAGAATGCTTCTGTCTAGTTGTTATGGGAAGATATTTCCTTTTCCAACGTAGGCCTGAAAGCGCTCCAAATGTCCACTTCCATATACTAAAAAAAGAGTGATTCACACCTGCTCTACCAAAGGGAATGTTCTACTCTGTGACTTGAATGCAAACATCCCAAAGAAGTTTCTGAGAATGCTTCTGTCTAGATTTGATCTGAACACAATCCCGTTTCCAACGAAATCCTCAAAGCTAGGCAAATATCCTCTTGCAGATTCCAGAAAAAGAGTGTTTCAAAACTGCTCCTTCAAAACGGTGGTTCAATTCTCTTAGTTGAGTACACACATCTCAAATAAGTTTCTGAGAATGCTTCTGCCTAGTTGTTACGGGAAGATATTTCCCTTTCCAACATAGGCTTGAAAGCGCTCCAAATGTCCACTTCCAGATACTATAAAAAGAGTGTTTCAAACCTGCTCTACCAAAGGGAATGTTCTACTCTGTGACATGAATGCAAACATCCCAAAGAAGTTTCTGAGAATGCTTCTGTCTAGATTTTACCTGAAGACAATCCCGTTTCCCACGAAATCCTCAAAGCTATGCAAATATCCTCTTGCAGATTCTACAAAAAGAGTGTTTCAAAACTGCTCTATGAAAAGAAAGGTTCAACTCTGTCAGTAGAGGGCACACATCACAAACAAGTTTCTGAGAATGCTTCTGTCTAGTTGTTATGGGAAGATATTTCCTTTTCCAACATAGGCCTGAAAGCGCTCCAAATGTCCACTTCCGGATACTACAAAAGGAGTGATTCCAACCTGCTCTATGATAGGGAATGTTCAACTCTGTGTCCTGAATACAAACATCACAAAGATGTTTCTCAGAACGCTGCAGTCTGCAATTTGTATGAATTCCCGCTTCCAACGAAATCCTCAAAACTAGCCAAATATCCACTTGCAGATTCCACAAAAAGAGCGTTTCAAAACTTCTCTATGAAAACAAAGGTTCTACTCCTTTAGTTGAGGACACACATCACGAGTAAGTTTCTGAGAATGCTTCTGTCTAGTTTTTAAGGGAAGATATTTCCTTTTTCACCTTAGGCCGGAAAGTGCTCCAAATGTCCACTTACACACACTACAAAAAGAGTGTTTCAAACCTGCTCTGTGAAAGGGAATGTTCAATTCTGTGACTTGAATGCAATCATCACAAAGAACTTTCTGAGAATGCTGCTGACTGCTTTTTATATGTAATCCCGTTTCCAACGAAATCCTCAAATCTAGCCAAATAGCCACTTGCAGATTCCACAAAAAGAGTGTTTCAAAACTGTTCTGTCTAAAGAAATGTTCAACTGTGTTAGTTGAGAACACACATCAGAAACTAGTTTCTGAGAATGCTTCTGTCTAGTTGTTATGGGAAGATATTTCCTTTTCCAACGTAGGCCTGAAAGCGCTCCAAATGTCCACTTCCAGATACTACAAAAAGAGTGTTTCAAACCTGCTCTACCAAAGGGAATGTTCTACTCTGTGACTTGAATGCAAACATCCCAAAGAAGTTTCTGAGAATACTTCTGTCTAGATTTTCTCTGAAGACAATCCCGTTTCCAACGAAATCCTCAAGGCTAGGCAAATATACTCTTGCAGATTCCAGAAAAAGAGTGTTTCAAAACTGCTCCTTCAAAACGGTGGTTCAATTCTCTTAGTTGAGTACACACATCTCAAATAAGTTTCTGAGAATGCTTCTGCCTAGTTGTTATGGGAAGATATTTCCCTTTCCAACATGGGCCTGAAAGCGCTCCAAATGTCCACTTCCAGATACTACAAAAAGAGTGTTTCAAACCTGCTCTACCAAAGGGAATGTTCTACTCTGTGACTTGAATGCAAACATCCCAAAGAAGTTTCTGAGAATGCTTCTGTCTAGATTTTACCTGAAGACAATCCCGTTTCCCACGAAATCCTCAAAGCTATGCAAATATCCTCTTGCAGATTCTACAAAAAGAGTGTTTCAAAACTGCTCTATGAAAAGAAAGGTTCAACTCTGTCAGTAGAGGGCACACATCACAAACAAGTTTCTGAGAATGCTTCTGCATAGTTGTTACGGGAAGATATTTCCCTTTCCAAAATAGGCCTGAAAGCGCTCCAAATGTCCACTTCCAGATACTACAAAAGGAGTGATTCCAACCTGCTCTATGATAGGGAATGTTCAACTCTGTGTCCTGAATACAAACATCACAAAGATGTTTCTCAGAACGCTGCAGTCTGCAATTTGTATGAATTCCCGCTTCCAACGAAATCCTCAAAACTAGCCAAATATCCACTTGCAGATTCCACAAAAAGACCATTTCAAAACTGCTCTATCAAAAGAAAGGTTCAACTTTGTTAGTTGAGTAGATACAGCATAAACAAGTTTCTGAGAATGCTTCTGTCCAGTTTTTATGGGAAGATATTTCCTTTTTCACCTTAGCCCTGAAATCGCTCCAAAAGTCCAGTTCCAGATACTACAAAAGGGGTGTTTCAAGACTGCTCTATGAAAGGGAGTGTTCAACTTTTGACTTGAATGCAAACATCAGAAAGCAGTTTCTCAGAACGCTGCTGTGTGCTTTTTATATGTATTCCCGCTTCCAGCGAAATCCCCAAAGCTAGCCAAATATCCACTTGCAGATTCCAGAAAAAGAGTGTTTCAAAACTGCTCCTTCAAAACGGTGGTTCAATTCTCTTAGTTGAGTACACACATCTCAAATAAGTTTCTGAGAATGCTGCAGTCTGCAATTTGTATGAATTCCGGCTTCCAACGAAAATCCTCAAAACTAGCCAAATATCCACTTGCAGATTCCACAAAAAGAGCATTTCAAAACTGCTCTATCAAAAGAAAGGTTCAACTTTGTTAGTTGAGTAGATACAGCATAAACAAGTTTCTGAGAATGCTTCTGTCCAGTTTTTATGGGAAGATATTTCCTTTTTCACCTTAGCCCTGAAAGCGCTCCAAATGTCCAGTTCCAGATACTACAAAAGGGGTGTTTCAAGACTGCTCTATGAAAGGGAGTGTTCAACTTTTGACTTGAATGCAAACATCAGAAAGCAGTTTCTCAGAACGCTGCTGTGTGCTTTTTATATGTATTCCCGCTTCCAGCGAAATCCCCAAAGCTAGCCAAATATCCACTTGCAGATTCCAGAAAAAGAGTGTTTCAAAACTGCTCCTTCAAAACGGTGGTTCAATTCTCTTAGTTGAGTACACACATCTCAAATAAGTTTCTGAGAATGCTTGTGTCTAGTTGTTATGGGAAGATATTTCCTTTTTCAACATAGGCCTGAAAGCGCTCCAAATGTCCACTTCCAGATACTACAAAAGGAGTGATTCCAACCTGCTCTATGATAGGGAATGTTCATCTCTGTGTCCTGAATACAAACATCACAAAGATGTTTCTCATAACGCTCCAGTCTGCAATTTGTATGAATTCCTGCTTCCAACGAAATCCTCAAAACTAGCCAAATATCCACTTGGAGATTCCACAAAAAGAGCGTTTGAAAACTTCTCTATGAATAGAAAGGTTCTACTCCTTTAGTTGAGGACACACATCACGAGTAAGTTTCTGAGAATGCTTCTGTCTAGTTTTTATGGGAAGATATTTCCTTTTTCACCTTAGGCCGGAAAGCGCTCCAAATGTCCACTTACACACACTACAAAAAGAGTGTTTCAAACCTGCTCTGTGAAAGGGAATGTTCAATTCTGTGACTTGAATGCAATCATCACAAAGAACTTTCTGAGAATGCTGCTGTCTGCTTTTTATATGTAATCCCGTTTCCAACGAAATCCTCAAATCTAGCCAAATATCCACTTGCAGATTCCACAAAAAGAGTGTTTCAAAACTGTTCTGTCTAAAGAAAAGTTCAACTGTGTTAGTTGAGGACACACATCAGAAACTAGTTTCTGAGAATGCTTCTGTCTAGTTGTTATGGGAAGATATTTCCTTTTCCAACGTAGGCCTGAAAGCGCTCCAAATGTCCATTTCCATATACTAAAAAAAGAGTGTTTCAAACCTGCTCTACCAAAGGGAATGTTCTACTCTGTGACTTGAATACAAACATCCCAAAGAAGTTTCTGAGAATGCTTCTGTCTAGATTTTATCTGAAGACAATCCGGTTTCCAACGAAATCCTCAAAGCTAGGCAAATATCCTCTAGCAGATTCCAGAAAAAGAGTGTTTCAAAACTGCTCCTTCAAAACGGTGGTTCAATTCTCTTAGTTGAGTACACACATCTCAGAAAAGTTTCAGAGAATGCTTCTGCCTAGTTGTTACGGGAAGATATTTCCCTTTCCAACATGGGCCTGAAAGCGCTCCAAATGTCCACTTCCAGATACTACAAAAAGAGTGTTTCAAACCTGCTCTACCAAAGGGAATGTTCTACTCTGTGACTTGAATGCAAACATCCCAAAGAAGTTTCTGAGAATGCTTCTGTCTAGATTTTACCTGAAGACACTCCCGTTTCCCACGAAATCCTCAAAGCTATGCAAATATCCTCTTGCAGATTCTACAAAAAGAGTGTTTCAAAACTGCTCTATGAAAAGAAAGGTTCAACTCTGTCAGTAGAGGGCACACATCACAAACAAGTTTCTGAGAATGCTTCTGCATAGTTGTTACGGGAAGATATTTCCCTTTCCAAAATAGGCCTGAAAGCGCTCCAAATGTCCACTTCCAGATACTACAAAAGGAGTGATTCCAACCTGCTCTATGATAGGGAATGTTCAACTCTGTGTCCTGAATACAAACATCACAAAGATGTTTCTCAGAACGCTGCAGTCTGCAATTTGTATGAATTCCCGCTTCCAACGAAATCCTCAAAACTAGCCAAATATCCACTTGCAGATTCCACAAAAAGACCATTTCAAAACTGCTCTATCAAAAGAAAGGTTCAACTTTGTTAGTTGAGTAGATACAGCATAACCAAGTTTCTGAGAATGCTTCTGTCCAGTTTTTATGGGAAGATATTTCCTTTTTCACCTTAGCCCTGAAATCGCTCCAAAAGTCCAGTTCCAGATACTACAAAAGGGGTGTTTCAAGACTGCTCTATGAAAGGGAGTGTTCAACTTTTGACTTGAATGCAAACATCAGAAAGCAGTTTCTCAGAACGCTGCTGTGTGCTTTTTATATGTATTCCCGCTTCCAGCGAAATCCCCAAAGCTAGCCAAATATCCACTTGCAGATTCCAGAAAAAGAGAGTTTCAAAACTGCTCCTTCAAAACGGTGGTTCAATTCTCTTAGTTGAGTACACACATCTCAAATAAGTTTCTGAGAATGCTTCCTGTCTAGTTGTTATGGGAAGATATTTCCTTTTCCAACATAGGCCTGAAAGCACTCCAAATGTCCACTTCCAGATACTACAAAAGGAGTGATTCAAACCTGCTCTATGATAGGGAATGTTCAACTCTGTGTCCTGAATACAAACATCACAAAGATGTTTCTCAGAACGCTGCAGTCTGCAATTTGTATGAATTCCCGCTTCCAACGAAATCCTCAAAACTAGCCAAATATCCACTTGCAGATTCCACAAAAAGAGCGTTTCAAAACTTCTCTATGAAAAGAAAGGTTCTACTCCTTTAGTTGAGGACACACATCACGAGTAAGTTTCTGAGAATGCTTCTGTCTAGTTTTTATGGGAAGATATTTCCTTTTTCACCTTAGGCCGGTAAGTGCTCCAAATGTCCACTTACACACACTACAAAAAGAGTGTTTCAAACCTGCTCTGTGAAAGGGAATGTTCAATTCTGTGACTTGAATGCAATCATCACAAAGAACTTTCTGAGAATGCTGCTGACTGCTTTTTATATGTAATCCCGTTTCCAACGAAATCCTCAAATCTAGCCAAATAGCCACTTGCAGATTCCACAAAAAGAGTGTTTCAAAACTGTTCTGTCTAAAGAAATGTTCAACTGTGTTAGTTGAGGACACACATCAGAAACTAGTTTCTGAGAATGCTTCTGTCTAGTTGTTATGGGAAGATATTTCCTTTTCCAACGTAGGCCTGAAAGCGCTCCAAATGTCCACTTCCATATACTAAAAAAAGAGTGTTTCAAACCTGCTCTACCAAAGGGAATGTTCTACTCTGTGACTTGAATGCAAGCATCCCAAAGAAGTTTCTGAGAATGCTTCTGTCTAGATTTTATCTGAAGACAATCCCGTTTCCAACGAAATCCTCAAGGCTAGGCAAATATATTCTTGCAGAATCCAGAAAAAGAGTGTTTCAAAACTGCTCCTTCAAAACGGTGGTTCAATTCTCTTAGTTGAGTACACACATCTCAAATAAGTTTCTGAGAATGCTTCTGCCTAGTTGTTACGGGAAGATATTTCCCTTTCCAACATGGGCCTGAAAGCGCTCCAAATGTCCACTTCCAGATACTACAAAAAGAGTGTTTCAAACCTGCTCTACCAAAGGGAATGTTCTACTCTGTGACTTGAATGCAAACATCCCAAAGAAGTTTCTGAGAATGCTTCTGTCTAGATTTTACCTGAAGACAATCCCGTTTCCCACGAAATCCTCAAAGCTATGCAAATATCCTCTTGCGGATTCTATAAAAGAGTGTTTCAAAACTGCTCTATGAAAAGAAAGGTTCAACTCTGTCAGTAGAGGGCACACATCACAAACAAGTTTCTGAGAATGCTTGTGTCTAGTTGTTATGGGAAGATATTTCCTTTTTCAACATAGGCCTGAAAGCGCTCCAAATGTCCACTTCCAGATACTACAAAAGGAGTGATTCCAACATGCTCTATGATAGGGAATGTTCATCTCTGTGTCTTGAATACAAACATTTCAAAGATGTTTCTCAGAACGCTGCAGTCTGCAATTTGTATGAATTCCCGCTTCCAACGAAATCCTCAAAACTAGCCAAATATCCACTTGGAGATTCCACAAAAAGAGCGTTTCAAAACTTCTCTATGAATAGAAAGGTTCTACTCCTTCAGTTGAGGACACACATCACGAGTAAGTTTCTGAGAATGCTTATCTGTCTAGTTATTATGGGAAGATATGTCCTTTTTCACCTTAGGCCGGAAAGCGCTCCAAATGTCCACTTACACACACTACAAAAAGAGTGTTTCAAACCTGCTCTATGAAAGGGAATGTTCAATTCTGTGACTTGAATGCAATCATCACAAAGAACTTTCTGAGAATGCTGCTGACTGCTTTTTATATGTAATCCCGTTTCCAACGAAATCCTCAAATCTAGCCCAATATCCACTTGCAGATTCCACAAAAAGAGTGTTTCAAAACTGTTCTGTATAAAGAAATGTACAACTGTGTTAGTTGAGGACACACATCAGAAACTAGTTTCTGAGAATGCTTCTGTCTAGTTGTTATGGGAAGATATTTCCTTTTCCAACGTAGGCCTGAAAGCGCTCCAAATGTCCACTTCCATATACTTAAAAAAGAGTGTTTCAAACCTGCTCTACCAAAGGGAATGTTCTACTCTGTGACATGAATGCAAACATCCCAAAGAAGTTTCTGAGAATGCTTCTGTCTAGATTTGATCTGAAGACAATCCCGTTTCCAACGAAATCCTCAAGGCTAGGCAAATATCCTCTTGCAGATTCCAGAAAAAGAGTGTTTCAAAACTGCTCCTTCAAAACGGTGGTTCAATTCTCTTAGTTGAGTACACACATCTCAAATAAGTTTCTGAGAATGCTTCTGCCTAGTTGTTACGGGAAGATATTTCCCTTTCCAACATAGGCCTGAAAGCGCTCCAAATGTCCACTTCCAGATACTACAAAAAGAGTGTTTCAAACCTGCTCTACCAAAGGGAATGTTCTGCTCTGTGACTTGAATGCAAACATCCCAAAGAAGTTTCTGAGAATGCTTCTGTCTAGATTTTACCTGAAGACAATCCCGTTTCCCACGAAATCCTCAAAGCTATGCAAATATCCTCTTGCAGATTCTACAAAAAGAGTGTTTCAAAACTGCTCTATGAAAAGAAAGGTTCAACTCTGTCAGTAGAGGGCACACATCACAAACAAGTTTCTGAGAATGCTTCTGTCTAGTTGTTATGGGAAGATTTTTCCTTTTTCAACATAGGCCTGAAAGCGCTCCCAATGTCCACTTCCAGATACTACAAAAGGAGTGATCCCAACCTGCTCTATGATAGGGAATGTTCAACTCTGTGTCCTGAATACAAACATCACAAAGATGTTTCTCAGAACGCTGCAGTCTGCAATTTGTATGAATTCCCGCTTCCAACGAAATCCTCAAAACTAGCCAAATATCCACTTGCAGATTCCACAAAAAGAGCATTTCAAAACTGCTCTATCAAAAGAAAGGTTCAACTTTGTTAGTTGAGTAGATACAGCATAAACAAGTTTCTGAGAATGCTTCTGTCCAGTTTTTATGGGAAGATATTTCCTTTTTCACCTTAGCCCTGAAAGCGCTCCAAAAGTCCAGTTCCAGATACTACAAAAGGGGTGTTTCAGGACTGCTCTATGAAAGGGAGTGTTCAACTTTTGACTTGAATGCAAACATCAGAAAGCAGTTTCTCAGAACGCTGCTGTGTGCTTTTTATATGTATTCCCGCTTCCAGCGAAATCCCCAAAGCTAGCCAAATATCCACTTGCAGATTCCAGAAAAAGAGTGTTTCAAAACTGCTCCTTCAAAACGGTGGTTCAATTCTCTTAGTTGAGTACACACATCTCAAATAAGTTTCTGAGAATGCTTCTGTCTAGTTGTTATGGGAAGATATTTCCTTTTCCAACGTAGGCCGGAAAGCGCTCCAAATGTCCACTTCCAGATACTACAAAAGGAGTGATTCCAACCTGCTCTATGATAGGGAATGTTCAACTCTGTGTCCTGAATACAAACATCACAAAGATGTTTCTCAGAACGCTGCAGTCTGCAATTTGTATGAATTCCCGCTTCCAACGAAATCCTCAAAACTAGCCAAATATCCACTTGCAGATTCCACAAAAAGACCATTTCAAAACTGCTCTATCAAAAGAAAGGTTCAACTTTGTTAGTTGAGTAGATACAGCATAACCAAGTTTCTGAGAATGCTTCTGTCCAGTTTTTATGGGAAGATATTTCCTTTTTCACCTTAGCCCTGAAATCGCTCCAAAAGTCCAGTTCCAGATACTACAAAAGGGGTGTTTCAAGACTGCTCTATGAAAGGGAGTGTTCAACTTTTGACTTGAATGCAAACATCAGAAAGCAGTTTCTCAGAACGCTGCTGTGTGCTTTTTATATGTATTCCCGCTTCCAGCGAAATCCCCAAAGCTAGCCAAATATCCACTTGCAGATTCCAGAAAAAGAGAGTTTCAAAACTGCTCCTTCAAAACGGTGGTTCAATTCTCTTAGTTGAGTACACACATCTCAAATAAGTTTCTGAGAATGCTTGTGTCTAGTTGTTATGGGAAGATATTTCCTTTTTCAACATAGGCCTGAAAGCGCTCCAAATGTCCACTTCCAGATACTACAAAAGGAGTGATTCCAACCTGCTCTATGATAGGGAATGTTCATCTCTGTGTCCTGAATACAAACATCACAAAGATGTTTCTCAGAACGCTGCAGTCTGCAATTTGTATGAATTCCCGCTTCCAACGAAATCCTCAAAACTAGCCAAATATCCACTTGGAGATTCCACAAAAAGAGCGTTTCAAAACTTCTCTATGAATAGAAAGGTTCTACTCCTTTAGTTGAGGACACACATCACGAGTAAGTTTCTGAGAATGCTTCTGTCTAGTTTTTATGGGAAGATATTTCCTTTTTCACCTTAGGCCGGAAAGTGCTCCAAATGTCCACTTACACACACTACAAAAAGAGTGTTTCAAACCTGCTCTGTGAAAGGGAATGTTCAATTCTGTGACTTGAATGCAATCATCACAAAGAAGTTTCTGAGAATGCTGCTGTCTGCTTTTTATATGTAATCCCGTTTCCAACGAAATCCTCAAATCTAGCCAAATATCCACTTGCAGATTCCACAAAGAGAGTGTTTCAAAACTGTTCTGTCTAAAGAAATGTTCAACTGTGTTAGTTGAGGACACACATCAGAAACTAGTTTCTGAGAATGCTTCTGTCTGGTTGTTATGGGAAGATATTTCCTTTTCCAAAGTAGGCCTGAAAGCGCTCCAAATGTCCACTTCCATATACTAAAAAAAGAGTGTTTCAAACCTGCTCTACCAAAGGGAATGTTCTACTCTGTGACTTGAATGCAAACATCCCAAAGAAGTTTCTGAGAATGCTTCTGTCTAGATTTGATCTGAAGACAATCCCGTTTCCAACGAAATCCTCAAATCTATGCAAATATCCTCTTGCAGATTCCAGAAAAAGAGTGTTTCAAAACTGCTCCTTCAAAACGGTGGTTCAATTCTCTTAGTTGAGTACACACATCTCAAATAAGTTTCTGAGAATGCTTCTGCCTAGTTGTTACGGGAAGATATTTCCCTTTCCAACATAGGCCTGAAAGCGCTCCAAATGTCCACTTCCAGATACTACAAAAAGAGTGTTTCAAACCTGCTCCTTCAAAACGGTGGTTCAATTCTCTTAGTTCAGTACACACATCTCAAATAAGTTTCTGAGAATGCTTCTGTCTAGATTTTACCTGAAGACAATCCCGTTTCCCACGAAATCCTCAAAGCTATGCAAATATCCTCTTGCAGATTCTGCAAAAAGAGTGTTTCAAAACTGCTCTATGAAAAGAAAGGTTCAACTCTGTCAGTAGAGGGCACACATCACAAACAAGTTTCTGAGAATGCTTCTGCATAGTTGTTACGGGAAGATATTTCCCTTTCCAAAATAGGCCTGAAAGCGCTCCAAATGTCCACTTCCAGATACTACAAAAGGAGTGATTCCAACCTGCTCTATGATAGGGAATGTTCAACTCTGTGTCCTGAATACAAACATCACAAAGATGTTTCTCAGAACGCTGCAGTCTGCAATTTGTATGAATTCCCGCTTCCAACGAAATCCTCAAAACTAGCCAAATATCCACTTGCAGATTCCACAAAAAGAGCATTTCAAAACTGCTCTATCAAAAGAAAGGTTCAACTTTGTTAGTTGAGTAGATACAGCATAAACAAGTTTCTGAGAATGCTGCAGTCTGCAATTTGTATGAATTCCCGCTTCCAACGAAATCCTCAAAACTAGCCAAATATCCACTTGCAGATTCCACAAAAAGAGCGTTTCAAAACTTCTCTATGAAAAGAAAGGTTCTACTCCTTTAGTTGAGGACACACAATACGAGTAAGTTTCTGAGAATGCTTCTGTCCAGTTTTTATGGGAAGATATTTCCTTTTTCACCTTAGCCCTGAAAGCGCTCCAAAAGTCCAGTTCCAGATACTACAAAAGGAGTGTTTCAGGACTGCTCTATGAAAGGGAGTGTTCAACTTTTGACTTGAATGCAAACATCAGAAAGCAGTTTCTCAGAACGCTGCTGTGTGCTTTTTATATGTATTCCCGCTTCCAGCGAAATCCCCAAAGCTAGCCAAATATCCACTTGCAGATTCCAGAAAAAGAGTGTTTCAAAACTGCTCCTTCAAAACGGTGGTTCAATTCTCTTAGTTGAGTACACACATCTCAAATAAGTTTCTGAGAATGCTTCTGTCTAGTTGTTATGGGAAGATATTTCCTTTTCCAACATAGGCCTGAAAGCGCTCCAAATGTCCACTTCCAGATACTACAAAAGGAGTGATTCAAACCTGCTCTATGATAGGGAATGTTCAACTCTGTGTCGTGAATACAAACATCACAAAGATGTTTCTCAGAACGCTGCAGTCTGCAATTTGTATGAATTCCCGCTTCCAACGAAATCCTCAAAACTAGCCAAATATCCACTTGCAGATTCCACAAAAAGAGCGTTTCAAAACTTCTCTATGAAAAGAAAGGTTCTACTCCTTTAGTTGAGGACACACATCACGAGTAAGTTTCTGAGAATGCTTCTGTCTAGTTTTTATGGGAAGATATTTCCTTTTTCACCTTAGGCCGGTAAGTGCTCCAAATGTCCACTTACACACACTACAAAAAGAGTCTTTCAAACCTGCTCTGTGAAAGGGAATGTTCAATTCTGTGACTTGAATGCAATCATCACAAAGAACTTTCTGAGAATGCTGCTGACTGCTTTTTATATGTAATCCCGTTTCCAACGAAATCCTCAAATCTAGCCAAATAGCCACTTGCAGATTCCACAAAAAGAGTGTTTCAAAACTGTTCTGTCTAAAGAAATGTTCAACTGTGTTAGTTGAGGACACACATCAGAAACGAGTTTCTGAGAATGCTTCTGTCTAGTTGTTATGGGAAGATATTTCCTTTTCCAACGTAGGCCTGAAAGCGCTCCAAATGTCCACTTCCAGATACTACAAAAAGAGTGTTTCAAACCTGCTCTACCAAAGGGAATGTTCTACTCTGTGACTTGAATGCAAGCATCCCAAAGAAGTTTCTGAGAATGCTTCTGTCTAGATTTGATCTGAAGACAATCCCGTTTCCAACGAAATCCTCAAGGCTAGGCAAATATCCTCTTGCAGATTCCAGAAAAAGAGTGTTTCAAAACTGCTCCTTCAAAATGGTGGTTCAATTCTCTTAGTTGAGTACACACATCTCAAATAAGTTTCTGAGAATGCTTCTGCCTAGTTGTTACGGGAAGATATTTCCCTTTCCAACATAGGCCTGAAAGCGCTCCAAATGTCCACTTCCAGATACTACAAAAAGAGTGTTTCAAACCTGCTCTACCAAAGGGAATGTTCTACTCTGTGACTTGAATGCAAACATCCCAAAGAAGTTTCTGAGAATGCTTCTGTCTAGATTTTACCTGAAGACAATCCCGTTTCCCACGAAATCCTCAAAGCTATGCAAATATCCTCTTGCAGATTCTACAAAAAGAGTGTTTCAAAACTGCTCTATGAAAAGAAAGGTTCAACTCTGTCAGTAGAGGGCACACATCACAAACAAGTTTCTGAGAATGCTTGTGTCTAGTTGTTATGGGAAGATATTTCCTTTTTCAACATAGGCCTGAAAGCGCTCCAAATGTCCACTTCCAGATACTACAAAAGGAGTGATTCCAACCTGCTCTATGATAGGGAATGTTCATCTCTGTGTCCTGAATACAAACATCACAAAGATGTTTCTCAGAACGCTGCAGTCTGCAATTTGTACGAATTCCCGCTTCCAACGAAATCCTCAAAACTAGCCAAATATCCACTTGCAGATTCCACAAAAAGAGCATTTCAAAACTGCTCTATCAAAAGAAAGGTTCAACTTTGTTAGTTGAGTAGATACAGCATAAACAAGTTTCTGAGAATGCTTCTGTCCAGTTTTTATGGGAAGATATTTCCTTTTTCACCTTAGCCCTGAAAGCGCTCCAAAAGTCCAGTTCCAGATACTACAAAAGGAGTGTTTCAGGACTGCTCTATGAAAGGGAGTGTTCAACTTTTGACTTGAATGCAAACATCAGAAAGCAGTTTCTCAGAACGCTGCTGTGTGCTTTTTATATGTATTCCCGCTTCCAGCGAAATCCCCAAAGCTAGCCAAATATCCACTTGCAGATTCCAGAAAAAGAGTGTTTCAAAACTGCTCCTTCAAAACGGTGGTTCAATTCTCTTAGTTGAGTACACACATCTCAAATAAGTTTCTGAGAATGCTTCTGTCTAGTTGTTATGGGAAGATATTTCCTTTTCTAACATAGGCCTGAAAGCGCTCCAAATGTCCACTTCCAGATACTACAAAAGGAGTGATTCAAACCTGCTCTATGATAGGGAATGTTCAACTCTGTGTCCTGAATACAAACATCACAAAGATGTTTCTCAGAACGCTGCAGTCTGCAATTTGTATGAATTCCCGCTTCCAACGAAATCCTCCAAACTAGCCAAATATCCACTTGCAGATTCCACAAAAAGAGCGTTTCAAAACTTCTCTATGAAAAGAAAGGTTCTACTCCTTTAGTTGAGGACACACATCACGAGTAAGTTTCTGAGAATGCTTCTGTCTAGTTTTTATGGGAAGATATTTCCTTTTTCACCTTAGGCCGGAAAGTGCTCCAAATGTCCACTTACACACACTACAAAAAGAGTGTTTCAAACCTGCTCTGTGAAAGGGAATGTTCAATTCTGTGACTTGAATGCAATCATCACAAAGAAAGTTCTGAGAATGCTGCTGTCTGCTTTTTATATGTAATCCCGTTTCCAACGAAATCCTCAAATCTAGCCAAATAGCCACTTGCAGATTCCACAAAAAGAGTGTTTCAAAACTGTTCTGTCTAAAGAAATGTTCAACTGTGTTAGTTGAGGACACACATCAGAAACTAGTTTCTGAGAATGCTTCTGTCTAGTTGTTATGGGAAGATATTTCCTTTTCCAACGTAGGCCTGAAAGCGCTCCAAATGTCCACTTCCATATACTAAAAAAAGAGTGTTTCAAACCTGCTCTACCAAAGGGAATGTTCTACTCTGTGACTTGAATGCAAACATCCCAAAGAAGTTTCTGAGAATGCTTCTGTCTAGATTTGATCTGAAGACAATCCCGTTTCCAACGAAATCCTCAAGGCTAGGCAAATATCCTCTTGCAGATTCCAGAAAAAGAGTGTTTCAAAACTGCTCCTTCAAAACGGTGGTTCAATTCTCTTAGTTGAGTACACACATCTCAAATAAGTTTCTGAGAATGCTTCTGCCTAGTTGTTACGGGAAGATATTTCCCTTTCCAGCATGGGCCTGAAAGCGCTCCAAATGTCCACTTCCAGATACTACAAAAAGAGTTTTTCAAACCTGCTCTACCAAAGGGAATGTTCTACTCTGTGACTTGAATGCAAACATCCCAAAGAAGTTTCTGAGAATGCTTCTGTCTAGATTTTACCTGAAGACAATCCCGTTTCCCACGAAATCCTCAAAGCTATGCAAATATCCTCTTGCAGATTCGACAAAAAGAGTGTTTCAAAACTGCTCTATGAAAAGAAAGGTTCAACTGTGTCAGTAGAGGGCACACATCACAAACAAGTTTCTGAGAATGCTTGTGTCTAGTTGTTATGGGAAGATATTTCCTTTTTCAACATAGGCCTGAAAGCGCTCCAAATGTCCACTTCCAGATACTACAAAAGGAGTGATTCCAACCTGCTCTATGATAGGGAATGTTCAACTCTCTGTCCTGAATACAAACATCACAAAGATGTTTCTCAGAACGCTGCAGTCTGCAATTTGTATGAATTCCCGCTTCCAACGAAATCCTCCAAACTAGCCAAATATCCACTTGCAGATTCCACAAAAAGAGCATTTCAAAACTGCTCTATCAAAAGAAAGGTTCAACTTTGTTAGTTGAGTAGATACAGCATAAACAAGTTTCTGAGAATGCTTCTGTCCAGTTTTTATGGGAAGATATTTCCTTTTTCACCTTAGCCCTGAAATCGCTCCAAAAGTCCAGTTCCAGATACTACAAAAGGGGTGTTTCAGGACTGCTCTATGAAAGGGAGTGTTCAACTTTTGACTTGAATGCAAACATCAGAAAGCAGTTTCTCAGAACGCTGCTGTGTGCTTTTTATATGTATTCCCGCTTCCAGCGAAATCCCCAAAGCTAGCCAAATATCCACTTGCAGATTCCAGAAAAAGAGTGTTTCAAAACTGCTCCTTCAAAACGGTGGTTCAATTCTCTTAGTTGAGTAGACACATCTCAAATAAGTTTCTGAGAATGCTTCTGTCTAGTTGTTATGGGAAGATATTTCCTTTTCCAACATAGGCCTGAAAGCGCTCCAAATGTCCACTTCCAGATACTACAAAAGGAGTGATTCAAACCTGCTCTATGATAGGGAATGTTCAACTCTGTGTCCTGAATACAAACATCACAAAGATGTTTCTCAGAACGCTGCAGTCTGCAATTTGTATGAATTCCCGCTTCCAACGAAATCCTCAAAACTAGCCAAATATCCACTTGCAGATTCCACAAAAAGACCATTTCAAAACTGCTCTATCAAAAGAAAGGTTCAACTTTGTTAGTTGAGTAGATACAGCATAAACAAGTTTCTGAGAATGCTTCTGTCCAGTTTTTATGGGAAGATATTTCCTTTTTCACCTTAGCCCTGAAATCGCTCCAAAAGTCCAGTTCCAGATACTACAAAAGGGGTGTTTCAAGACTGCTCTATGAAAGGGAGTGTTCAACTTTTGACTTGAATGCAAACATCAGAAAGCAGTTTCTCAGAACGCTGCTGTGTGCTTTTTATATGTATTCCCGCTTCCAGCGAAATCCCCAAAGCTAGCCAAATATCCACTTGCAGATTCCAGAAAAAGAGTGTTTCAAAACTGCTCCTTCAAAACGGTGGTTCAATTCTCTTAGTTGAGTACACACATCTCAAATAAGTTTCTGAGAATGCTTCTGTCTAGTTGTTATGGGAAGATATTTCCTTTTCCAACATAGGCCTGAAAGCGCTCCAAATGTCCACTTCCAGATACTACAAAAGGAGTGATTCCAACCTGCTCTATGATAGGGAATGTTCAACTCTGTGTCCTGAATACAAACATCACAAAGATGTTTCTCAGAACGCTGCAGTCTGCAATTTGTATGAATTCCCGCTTCCAACGAAATCCTCCAAACTAGCCAAATATCCACTTGCAGATTCCACAAAAAGAGCGTTTCAAAACTTCTCTATGAAAAGAAAGGTTCTACTCCTTTAGTTGAGGACACACATCACGAGTAAGTTTCTGAGAATGCTTCTGTCTAGTTTTTATGGGAAGATTATTTCCTTTTTCACCTTAGGCCGGTAAGTGCTCCAAATGTCCACTTACACACACTACAAAAAGAGTGTTTCAAACCTGCTCTGTGAAAGGGAATGTTCAATTCTGTGACTTGAATGCAATCATCACAAAGAACTTTCTGAGAATGCTGCTGACTGCTTTTTATATGTAATCCCGTTTCCAACGAAATCCTCAAATCTAGCCAAATAGCCACTTGCAGATTCCACAAAAAGAGTGTTTCAAAACTGTTCTGTCTAAAGAAATGTTCAACTCTGTTAGTTGAGGACACACATCAGAAACTAGTTTCTGAGAATGCTTCTGTCTAGTTGTTATGGGAAGATATTTCCTTTTCCAACGTAGGCCTGAAAGCGCTCCAAATGTCCACTTCCAGATACTACAAAAAGAGTGTTTCAAACCTGCTCTACCAAAGGGAATGTTCTACTCTGTGACTTGAATGCAAGCATCCCAAAGAAGTTTCTGAGAATGCTTCTGTCTAGATTTTCTCTGAAGACAATCCCGTTTCCAACGAAATCCTCAAGGCTAGGCAAATATACTCTTGCAGATTCCAGAAAAAGAGTGTTTCAAAACTGCTCCTTCAAAACGGTGGTTCAATTCTCTTAGTTGAGTACACACATCTCAAATAAGTTTCTGAGAATGCTTCTGCCTAGTTGTTACGGGAAGATATTTCCCTTTCCAACATAGGCCTGAAAGCGCTCCAAATGTCCACTTCCAGATACTACAAAAAGAGTGTTTCAAACCTGCTGTACCAAAGGGAATGTTCTACTCTGTGACTTGAATGCAAACATCCCGAAGAATTTTCTGAGAATGCTTCTGTCTAGATTTTACCTGAAGACAATCCCGTTTCCCACGAAATCCTCGAAGCTATGCAAATATCCTCTTGCAGATTCTACAAAAAGAGTGTTTCGAAACTGCTCTATGAAAAGAAAGGTTCAACTCTGTCAGTAGAGGGCACACATCACAAACAAGTTTCTGAGAATGCTTGTGTCTACTTGTTATGGGAAGATATTTCCTTTTTCAACATAGGCCTGAAAGCGCTCCAAATGTCCACTTCCAGATACTACAAAAGGAGTGATTCCAACCTCCTCTATGATAGGGAATGTTCAACTCTGTGTCCTGAATACAAACATCACAAAGATGTTTCTCAGAACGCTGCAGTCTGCAATTTGTATGAATTCCCGCTTCCAACGAATTCCTCAATACTAGCCAAATATCCACTTGCAGACTCCACAAAAAGAGCATTTCAAAACTGCTCTATCAAAAGAAAGGTTCAACTTTGTTAGCTGAGTAGATACAGCATAAACAAGTTTCTGAGAATGCTTCTGTCCAGTTTTTATGGGAAGATATTTCCTTTTTCACCTTAGCCCTGAAAGCGCTCCAAATTTCCAGTTCCAGATACTACAAAAGGGGTGTTTCAAGACTGCTCTATGAAAGGGAGTGTTCAACTTTTGACTTGAATGCAAACATCAGAAAGCAGTTTCTCAGAACGCTGCTGTATGCTTTTTATATGTATTCCCGCTTCCAGCGAAATCCCCAAAGCTAGCCAAATATCCACTTGCAGATTCCAGAAAAAGAGTGTTTCCAAACTGCTCCTTCAAAACGGTGGTTCAATTCTCTTAGTTGAGTACACACATCTCAAATAAGTTTCTGGGAATGCTTCTGTCTAGTTGTTATGGGAAGATATTTCCTTTTCCAACATAGGCCTGAAAGCGCTCCAAATGTCCACTTCCAGATACTACAAAAGGAGTGATTCAAACCTGCTCTATGATAGGGAATGTTCAACTCTGTGTCCTGAATACAAACATCACAAAGATGTTTCTCAGAACGCTGCAGTCTGCAATTTGTATGAATTCCCGCTTCCAACGAAATCCTCAAAACTAGCCAAATATCCACTTGCAGATTCCACAAAAAGAGCGTTTCAAAACTTCTCTATGAAAAGAAAGGTTCTACTCCTTTAGTTGAGGACACACATCACGAGTAAGTTTCTGAGAATGCTTCTGTCTAGTTTTTATGGGAAGATTATTTCCTTTTTCACCTTAGGCCGGTAAGTGCTCCAAATGTCCACTTACACACACTACAAAAAGAGTGTTTCAAACCTGCTCTGTGAAAGGGAATGTTCAATTCTGTGACTTGAATGCAATCATCACAAAGAACTTTCTGAGAATGCTGCTGACTGCTTTTTATATGTAATCCCGTTTCCAACGAAATCCTCAAATCTAGCCAAATAGCCACTTGCAGATTCCACAAAAAGAGTGTTTCAAAACTGTTCTGTCTAAAGAAATGTTCAACTGTGTTAGTTGAGGACACACATCAGAAACTAGTTTCTGAGAATGCTTCTGTCTAGTTGTTATGGGAAGATATTTCCTTTTCCAACGTAGGCCTGAAAGCGCTCCAAATGTCCACTTCCAGATACTACAAAAAGAGTGTTTCAAACCTGCTCTACCAAAGGGAATGTTCTACTCTGTGACTTGAATGCAAGCATCCCAAAGAAGTTTCTGAGAATGCTTCTGTCTAGATTTTCTCTGAAGACAATCCCGTTTCCAACGAAATCCTCAAGGCTAGGCAAATATACTCTTGCAGATTCCAGAAAAAGAGTGTTTCAAAACTGCTCCTTCAAAACGGTGGTTCAATTCTCTTAGTTGAGTACACACATCTCAAATAAGTTTCTGAGAATGCTTCTGCCTAGTTGTTACGGGAAGATATTTCCCTTTCCAACATAGGCCTGAAAGCGCTCCAAATGTCCACTTCCAGATACTACAAAAAGAGTGTTTCAAACCTGCTCTACCAAAGGGAATGTTCTACTCTGTGACTTGAATGCAAACATCCCAAAGAAGTTTCTGAGAATGCTTCTGTCTAGATTTTACCTGAAGACAATCCCGTTTCCCACGAAATCCTCAAAGCTATGCAAATATCCTCTTGCAGATTCTACAAAAAGAGTGTTTCAAAACTGCTCTATGAAAAGAAAGGTTCAACTCTGTCAGTAGAGGGCACACATCACAAACAAGTTTCTGAGAATGCTTGTGTCTAGTTGCTATGGGAAGATATTTCCTTTTTCAACATAGGCCTGAAAGCGCTCCAAATGTCCACTTCCAGATACTACAAAAGGAGTGATTCCAACCTGCTCTATGATAGGGAATGTTCATCTCTGTGTCCTGAATACAAACATCACAAAGATGTTTCTCATAACGCTGCAGTCTGCAATTTTGTATGAATTCCCGCTTCCAACGAAATCCTCAACACTAGCCAAATATCCACTTGGAGATTCCACAAAAAGAGCGTTTCAAAACTTCTCTATGAATAGAAAGGTTCTACTCCTTTAGTTGAGGACACACATCACGAGTAAGTTTCTGAGAATGCTTCTGTCTAGTTTTTATGGGAAGATATTTCCTTTCTCACCTTAGGCCGGAAAGTGCTCCAAATGTCCACTTACACACACTACAAAAAGAGTGTTTCAAACCTGCTCTGTGAAAGGGAATGTTCAATTCTGTGACTTGAATGCAATCATCACAAAGAACTTTCTGAGAATGCTGCTGTCTGCTTTTTATATGTAATCCCGTTTCCAACGAAATCCTCAAATCTAGCCAAATAGCCACTTGCAGATTCCACAAAAAGAGAGTTTCAAAACTGTTCTGTCTAAAGAAATGTTCAACTGTGTTAGTTGAGGACACACATCAGAAACTAGTTTCTGAGAATGCTTCTGTCTAGTTGTTATGGGAAGATATTTCCTTTTCCAACGTAGGCCTGAAAGCGCTCCAAATGTCCACTTCCATATACTAAAAAAAGAGTGTTTCAAACCTGCTCTACCAAAGGGAATGTTCTACTCTGTGACTTGAATGCAAACATCCCAAAGAAGTTTCTGAGAATGCTTCTGTCTAGATTTGATCTGAAGACAATCCCGTTTCCAACGAAATCCTCAAGGCTAGGCAAATATCCTCTTGCAGATTCCAGAAAAAGAGTGTTTCAAAACTGCTCCTTCAAAACGGTGGTTCAATTCTCTTAGTTGAGTACACACATCTCAAATAAGTTTCTGAGAATGCTTCTGCCTAGTTGTTACGGGAAGATATTTCCCTTTCCAACATAGGCCTGAAAGCGCTCCAAATGTCCACTTCCAGATACTACAAAAAGAGTGTTTCAAACCTGCTCTACCAAAGGGAATGTTCTGCTCTGTGACTTGAATGCAAACATCCCAAAGAAGTTTCTGAGAATGGTTCTGTCTAGATTTTACCTGAAGACAATCCCGTTTCCCACGAAATCCTCAAAGCTATGCAAATATCCTCTTGCAGATTCTACAAAAAGAGTGTTTCAAAACTGCTCTATGAAAAGAAAGGTTCAACTCTGTCAGTAGAGGGCACACATCACAAACAAGTTTCTGAGAATGCTTCTGCATAGTTGTTACGGGAAGATATTTCCCTTTCCAAAATAGGCCTGAAAGCGCTCCAAATGTCCACTTCCAGATACTACAAAAGGAGTGATTCCAACCTGCTCTATGATAGGGAATGTTCAACTCTGTGTCCTGAATACAAACATCACAAAGATGTTTCTCAGAACGCTGCAGTCTGCAATTTGTATGAATTCCCGCTTCCAACGAAATCCTCAAAACTAGCCAAATATCCACTTGCAGATTCCACAAAAAGACCATTTCAAAACTGCTCTATCAAAAGAAAGGTTCAACTTTGTTAGTTGAGTAGATACAGCATAACCAAGTTTCTGAGAATGCTTCTGTCCAGTTTTTATGGGAAGATATTTCCTTTTTCACCTTAGCCCTGAAATCGCTCCAAAAGTCCAGTTCCAGATACTACAAAAGGGGTGTTTCAAGACTGCTCTATGAAAGGGAGTGTTCAACTTTTGACTTGAATGCAAACATCAGAAAGCAGTTTCTCAGAACGCTGCTGTGTGCTTTTTATATGTATTCCCGCTTCCAGCGAAATCCCCAAAGCTAGCCAAATATCCACTTGCAGATTCCAGAAAAAGAGAGTTTCAAAACTGCTCCTTCAAAACGGTGGTTCAATTCTCTTAGTTGAGTACACACATCTCAAATAAGTTTCTGAGAATGCTTGTGTCTAGTTGTTATGGGAAGATATTTCCTTTTTCAACATAGGCCTGAAAGCGCTCCAAATGTCCACTTCCAGATACTACAAAAGGAGTGATTCCATCATGCTCTATGATAGGGAATGTTCATCTCTGTGTCTTGAATACAAACATCACAAAGATGTTTCTCAGAACGCTGCAGTCTGCAATTTGTATGAATTCCCGCTTCCAACGAAATCCTCAAAACTAACCAAATATCCACTTGGAGATTCCACAAAAAGAGCGTTTCAAAACTTCTCTATGAATAGAAAGGTTCTACTCCTTTAGTTGAGGACACACATCACGAGTAAGTTTCTGAGAATGCTTCTGTCTAGTTTTTATGGGAAGATATGTCCTTTTTCACCTTAGGCCGGAAAGCACTCCAAATGTCCACTTACACACACTACAAAAAGAGTGTTTCAAACCTGCTCTGTGAAAGGGAATGTTCAATTCTGTGACTTGAATGCAATCATCACAAAGAACTTTCTGAGAATGCTGCTGACTGCTTTTTATATGTAATCCCGTTTCCAACGAAATCCTCAAATCTAGCCCAATATCCACTTGCAGATTCCACAAAAAGAGTGTTTCAAAACTGTTCTGTCTAAAGAAATGTACAACTGTGTTAGTTGAGGACACACATCAGAAACTAGTTTCTGAGAATGCTTCTGTCTAGTTGTTATGGGAAGATATTTCCTTTTCCAACGTAGGCCTGAAAGCGCTCCAAATGTCCACTTCCATATACTAAAAAAAGAGTGTTTCACACCTGCTCTACCAAAGGGAATGTTCTACTCTGTGACTTGAATGCAAACATCCCAAAGAAGTTTCTGAGAATGCTTCTGTCTAGATTTGATCTGAACACAATCCCGTTTCCAACGAAATCCTCAAAGCTAGGCAAATATCCTCTTGCAGATTCCAGAAAAAGAGTGTTTCAAAACTGCTCCTTCAAAACGGTGGTTCAATTCTCTTAGTTGAGTACACACATCTCAAATAAGTTTCTGAGAATGCTTCTGCCTAGTTGTTACCGGAAGATATTTCCCTTTCCAACATAGGCCTGAAAGCGCTCCAAATGTCCCCTTCCAGATACTACAAAAAGAGTGTTTCAAACCTGCTCTACCAAAGGGAATGTTCTACTCTGTGACTTGAATGCAAACATCCCAAAGAAGTTTCTGAGAATGCTTCTGTCTAGATTTTACCTGAAGACAATCCCGTTTCCCACGAAATCCTCAAAGCTATGCAAATATCCTCTTGCAGATTCTACAAAAAGAGTGTTTCAAAACTGCTCTATGAAAAGAAAGGTTCAACTCTGTCAGTAGAGGGCACACATCACAAACAAGTTTCTGAGAATGCTTCTGCATAGTTGTTACGGGAAGATATTTCCCTTTCCAAAATAGGCCTGAAAGCGCTCCAAATGTCCACTTCCAGATACTACAAAAGGAGTGATTCCAACCTGCTCTATGATAGGGAATGTTCAACTCTGTGTCCTGAATACAAACATCACAAAGATGTTTCTCAGAACGCTGCAGTCTGCAATTTGTATGAATTCCCGCTTCCAACGAAATCCTCAAAACTAGCCAAATATCCACTTGCAGATTCCACAAAAAGACCATTTCAAAACTGCTCTATCAAAAGAAAGGTTCAACTTTGTTAGTTGAGTAGATACAGCATAAACAAGTTTCTGAGAATGCTTCTGTCCAGTTTTTATGGGAAGATATTTCCTTTTTCACCTTAGCCCTGAAATCGCTCCAAAAGTCCAGTTCCAGATACTACAAAACGGGTGTTTCAAGACTGCTCTATGAAAGGGAGTGTTCAAATTTTGACTTGAATGCAAACATCAGAAAGCAGTTTCTCAGAACGCTGCTGTGTGCTTTTTATATGTATTCCCGCTTCCAGCGAAATCCCCAAAGCTAGCCAAATATCCACTTGCAGATTCCAGAAAAAGAGTGTTTCAAAACTGCTCCTTCAAAACGGTGGTTCAATTCTCTTAGTTGAGTACACACATCTCAAATAAGTTTCTGAGAATGCTTCTGTCTAGTTGTTATGGGAAGATATTTCCTTTTCCAACATAGGCCTGAAAGCGCTCCAAATGTCCACTTGCAGATACTACAAAAGGAGTGATTCAAACCTGCTCTATGATAGGGAATGTTCAACTCTGTGTCCTGAATACAAACATCACAACGATGTTTCTCAGAACGCTGCAGTCTGCAATTTGTATGAATTCCCGCTTCCAACGAAATCCTCAAAACTAGCCAAATATCCACTTGCAGATTCCACAAAAAGAGCGTTTCAAAACTTCTCTATGAAAAGAAAGGTTCTACTCCTTTAGTTGAGGACACACATCACGAGTAAGTTTCTGAGAATGCTTCTGTCTAGTTTTTATGGGAAGATTATTTCCTTTTTCACCTTAGGCCGGTAAGTGCTCCAAATGTCCACTTACACACACTACAAAAAGAGTGTTTCAAACCTGCTCTGTGAAAGGGAATGTTCAATTCTGTGACTTGAATGCAATCATCACAAAGAACTTTCTGAGAATGCTGCTGACTGCTTTTTATATGTAATCCCGTTTCCAACGAAATCCTCAAATCTAGCCAAATAGCCACTTGCAGATTCCACAAAAAGAGTGTTTCAAAACTGTTCTGTCTAAAGAAATGTTCAACTGTGTTAGTTGAGGACACACATCAGAAACTAGTTTCTGAGAATGCTTCTGTCTAGTTGTTATGGGAAGATATTTCCTTTTCCAACGTAGGCCTGAAAGCGCTCCAAATGTCCACTTCCAGATACTACGAAAAGAGTGTTTCAAACCTGCTCTACCAAAGGGAATGTTCTACTCTGTGACTTGAATGCAAGCATCCCAAAGAAGTTTCTGAGAATGCTTCTGTCTAGATTTTCTCTGAAGACAATCCCGTTTCCAACGAAATCCTCAAGGATAGGCAAATATCCTCTTGCAGATTCCAGAAAAAGAGTGTTTCAAAACTGCTCCTTCAAAACGGTGGTTCAATTCTCTTAGTTGAGTACACACATCTCAAATAAGTTTCTGAGAATGCTTCTGCCTAGTTGTTACGGGAAGATATTTCCCTTTCCAACATGGGCCTGAAAGCGCTCCAAATGTCCACTTCCAGATACTACAAAAAGAGTGTTTCAAACCTGCTCTACCAAAGGGAATGTTCTACTCTGTGACTTGAATGCAAACATCCCAAAGAAGTTTCTGAGAATGCTTCTGTCTAGATTTTACCTGAAGACAATCCCGTTTCCCACGAAATCCTCAAAGCTATGCAAATATCCTCTTGCGGATTCTACAAAAAGAGTGTTTCAAAACTGCTCTATGAAAAGAAAGGTTCAACTCTGTCAGTAGAGGGCACACATCACAAACAAGTTTCTGAGAATGCTTGTGTCTAGTTGTTATGGGAAAATATTTCCTTTTTCAACATAGGCCTGAAAGCGCTCCAAATGTCCACTTCCAGATACTACAAAAGGAGTGATTCCAACCTGCTCTATGATAGGGAATGTTCATCTCTGTGTCCTGAATACAAACATCACAAAGATGTTTCTCAGAACGCTGCAGTCTGCAATTTGTATGAATTCCCGCTTCCAACGAAATCCTCAAAACTAGCCAAATATCCACTTGGAGATTCCACAAAAAGAGCGTTTCAAAACTTCTCTATGAATAGAAAGGTTCTACTCCTTTAGTTGAGGACACACATCACGAGTAAGTTTCTGAGAATGCTTCTGTCTAGTTTTTATGGGAAGATATTTCCTTTTTCACCTTAGGCCGGAAAGCGCTCCAAATGTCCACTTACACACACTACAAAAAGAGTGTTTCAAACCTGCTCTGTGAAAGGGAATGTTCAATTCTGTGACTTGAATGCAATCATCACAAAGAACTTTCTGAGAATGCTGCTGACTGCTTTTTATATGTAATCCCGTTTCCAACGAAATCCTCAAATCTAGCCAAATAGCCACTTGCAGATTCCACAAAAAGAGTGTTTCAAAACTGTTCTGTCTATAGAAATGTTCAACTGTGTTAGTTGAGGACACACATCAGAAACTAGTTTCTGAGAATGCTTCTGTCTAGTTGTTATTGGAAGATATTTCCCTTTCCAACGTAGGCCTGAAAGCGATCAAAATGTCCACTTCCATATACTAAAAAAAGAGTGTTTCAAACCTGCTCTACCAAAGGGAATGTTCTACTCTGTGACTTGAATACAAACATCCCAAAGAAGTTTCTGAGAATGCTTCTGTCTAGATTTTATCTGAATACAATCCCGTTTCCAACGAAATCCTCAAGGCTAGGCAAATATACTCTTGCAGATTCCAGAAAAAGAGTGTTTCAAAACTGCTCCTTCAAAACGGTGGTTCAATTCTCTTAGTTGAGTACACACATCTCAAATAAGTTTCTGAGAATGCTTCTGCCTAGTTGTTAGTGGAAGATATTTCCCTTTCCAACATAGGCCTGAAAGCGCTCCAAATGTCCACTTCCAGATACTACAAAAAGAGTGTTGCAAACCTGCTCTACCAAAGGGAATGTTCTACTCTGTGACTTGAATGCAAACATCCCAAAGAAGTTTCTGAGAATGCTTCTGTCTAGATTTTACCTGAAGACAATCCCGTTTCCCACGAAATCCTCAAAGCTATGCAAATATCCTCTTGCAGATTCTACAAAAAGAGTGTTTCAAAACTGCTCTATGAAAAGAAAGGTTCAACTCTGTCAGTAGAGGGCACACATCACAAACAAGTTTCTGAGAATGCTTCTGCATAGTTGTTACGGGAAGATATTTCCCTTTCCAAAATAGGCCTGAAAGCGCTCCAAATGTCCACTTCCAGATACTACAAAAGGAGTGATTCCAACCTGCTCTATGATAGGGAATGTTCAACTCTGTGTCCTGAATACAAACATCACAAAGATGTTTCTCAGAACGCTGCAGTCTGCAATTTGTATGAATTCCCGCTTCCAACGAAATCCTCAAAACTAGCCAAATATCCACTTGCAGATTCCACAAAAAGACCATTTCAAAACTGCTCTATCAAAAGAAAGGTTCAACTTTGTTAGTTGAGTAGATACAGCATAAACAAGTTTCTGAGAATGCTTCTGTCCAGTTTTTATGGGAAGATATTTCCTTTTTCACCTTAGCCCTGAAATCGCTCCAAAAGTCCAGTTCCAGATACTACAAAAGGGGTGTTTCAAGACTGCTCTATGAAAGGGAGTGTTCAACTTTTGACTTGAATGCAAACATCAGAAAGCAGTTTCTCAGAACGCTGCTGTGTGCTTTTTATATGTATTCCCGCTTCCAGCGAAATCCCCAAAGCTAGCCAAATATCCACTTGCAGATTCCAGAAAAAGAGAGTTTCAAAACTGCTCCTTCAAAACGGTGGTTCAATTCTCTTAGTTGAGTACACACATCTCAAATAAGTTTCTGAGAATGCTTCCTGTCTATTTGTTATGGGAAGATATTTCCTTTTCCAACATAGGGCCTGAAAGCGCTCCAAATGTCCACTTCCAGATACTACAAAAGGAGTGATTCAAACCTGCTCTATGATAGGGAATGTTCAACTCTGTGTCCTGAATACAAACATCACAAAGATGTTTCTCAGAACGCTGCAGTCTGCAATTTGTATGAATTCCCGCTTCCAACGAAATCCTCCAAACTAGCCAAATATCCACTTGCAGATTCCACAAAAAGAGCGTTTCAAAACTTCTCTATGAAAAGAAAGGTTCTACTCCTTTAGTTGAGGACACACATCACGAGTAAGTTTCTTAGAATGCTTCTGTCCAGTTTTTATGGGAAGATATTTCCTTTTTCACCTTAGCCCTGAAAGCGCTCCAAATGTCCACTTCCAGATTCTACAAAAGGGGTGTTTCAGGCCTGCTCTATGAAAGGGAGTGTTCAACTTTTGACTTGAATGCAAACATCAGAAAGCAGTTTCTCAGAACGCTGCTGTGTGCTTTTTATATGTATTCCCGCTTCCAGCGAAATCCCCAAAGCTAGCCAAATATCCACTTGCAGATTCCAGAAAAAGAGTGTTTCAAAACTGCTCCTTCAAAACGGTGGTTCAATTCTCTTAGTTGAGTACACACATCTCAAATAAGTTTCTGAGAATGCTTCTGTCTAGTTGTTATGGGAAGATATTTCCTTTTCCAACATAGGCCTGAAAGCGCTCCAAATGTCCACTTCCAGATACTACAAAAGGAGTGATTCCAACCTGCTCTATGATAGGGAATGTTCAACTCTGTGTCCTGAATACAAACATCACAAAGATGTTTCTCAGAACGCTGCAGTCTGCAATTTGTATGAATTCCCGCTTCCAACGAAATCCTCCAAACTAGCCAAATATCCACTTGCAGATTCCACAAAAAGAGCGTTTCAAAACTTCTCTATGAAAAGAAAGGTTCTACTCCTTTAGTTGAGGACACACATCACGAGTAAGTTTCTGAGAATGCTTCTGTCTAGTTTTTATGGGAAGATATTTCCTTGTTCACCTTAGGCCGGAAAGCGCTCCAAATGTCCACTTACACACACTAGAAAAAGAGTGTTTCAAACCTGCTCTGTGAAAAGGAATGTTCAATTCTGTGACTTGAATGCAATCATCACAAAGAAGTTTCTGAGAATGCTGCTGTCTGCTTTTTATATATAATCCCGTTTCCAACGAAATCCTCAAATCTAGCCAAATATCCACTTGCAGATTCCACAAAAAGAGTGTTTCAAAACTGTTCTGTCTAAAGAAATGTTCAACTGTGTTAGTTGAGGACACACATCAGAAACTAGTTTCTGAGAATGCTTCTGTCTAGTTGTTATGGGAAGATATTTCCTTTTCCAACGTAGGCCAGAAAGCGCTCCAAATGTCCACTTACACACACTACAAAAAGAGTGTTTCAAACCTGCTCTACCAAAGGGAATGTTCTACTCTGTGACTTGAATGCAAACATCCCAAAGAAGTTTCTGAGAATGCTTCTGTCTAGATTTTACCTGAAGACAATCCCGTTTCCCACGAAATCCTCAAATCTATGCAAATATCCTCTTGCAGATTCTACAAAAAGAGTGTTTCGAAACTGCTCTATGAAAAGAAAGGTTCAACTGTGTCAGTAGAGGGCACACATCACAAAGAAGTTTCTGAGAATGCTTCTGTCTAGTTGTTATGGGAAGATATTTCCTTTTTCAACATAGGCCTGAAAGCGCTCCAAATGTCCACTTCCAGATACTACAAAAGGAGTGATTCCAACCTGCTCTATGATAGGGAATGTTCAACTCTGTGTCCTGAATACAAACATCACAAAGATGTTTCTCAGAACGCTGCAGTCTGCAATTTGTATGAATTCCCGCTTCCAACGAAATCCTCAAAACTAGCCAAATATCCACTTGCAGATTCCACAAAAAGAGCGTTTCAAAACTTCTCTATGAAAAGAAAGGTTCTACTCCTTTAGTTGAGGACACACATCACGAGTAAGTTTCTGAGAATGCTTCTGTCTAGTTTTTATGGGAAGATATTTCCTTTTTCACCTTAGGCCGGAAAGTGCTCCAAATGTCCACTTACACACACTACAAAAAGAGTGTTTCAAACCTGCTCTGTGAAAGGGAATGTTCAATTCTGTGACTTGAATGCAATCATCACAAACAACTTTCTGAGAATGCTGCTGTCTGCTTTTTATATGTAATCCCGTTTCCAACGAAATCCTCAAATCTAGCCAAATAGCCACTTGCAGATTCCACAAAAAGAGTGTTTCAAAACTTCTCTATGAAAAGAAAGGTTCTACTCCTTTAGTTGAGGACACACATCACGAGTAAGTTTCTGAGAATGCTTCTGTCTAGTTTTTATGGGAAGATATTTCCTTTTTCACCTTAGGCCGGAAAGTGCTCCAAATGTCCACTTACACACACTACAAAAAGAGTGTTTCAAACCTGCTCTGTGAAAGGGAATGTTCAATTCTGTGACTTGAATGCAATCATCACAAAGAACTTTCTGAGAATGCTGCTGTCTGCTTTTTATATGTAATCCCGTTTCCAACGAAATCCTCAAATCTAGCCAAATAGCCACTTGCAGATTCCACAAAAAGAGTGTTTCAAAACTGTTCTGTCTAAAGAAATGTTCAACTGTGTTAGTTGAGGACACACATCAGAAACTAGTTTCTGAGAATGCTTCTGTCTAGTTGTTATGGGAAGATATTTCCTTTTCCAACGTAGGCCTGAAAGCGCTCCAAATGTCCACTTCCATATACTAAAAAAAGAGTGTTTCAAACCTGCTCTACCAAAGGGAATGTTCTACTCTGTGACTTGAATGCAAACATCCCAAAGAAGTTTCTGAGAATGCTTCTGTCTAGATTTGATCTGAAGACAATCCCGTTTCCAACGAAATCCTCAAGGCTAGGCAAATATCCTCTTGCAGATTCCAGAAAAAGAGTGTTTCAAAACTGCTCCTTCAAAACGGTGGTTCAATTCTCTTAGTTGAGTACACACATCTCAAATAAGTTTCTGAGAATGCTTCTGCCTAGTTGTTACGGGAAGATATTTCCCTTTCCAACATAGGCCTGAAAGCGCTCCAAATGTCCACTTCCAGATACTACAAAAAGAGTGTTTCAAACCTGCTCTACCAAAGGGAATGTTCTACTCTGTGACTTGAATGCAAACATCCCAAAGAAGTTTCTGAGAATGCTTCTGTCTAGATTTTACCTGAAGGACAATCCCGTTTCCCACGAAATCCTCAAAGCTATGCAAATATCCTCTTGCAGATTCTACAAAAAGAGTGTTTCAAAACTGCTCTAAGAAAAGAAAGGTTCAACTCTGTCAGTAGAGGGCACACATCACAAACAAGTTTCTGAGAATGCTTGTGTCTAGTTGTTATGGGAAGATATTTCCTTTTTCAACATAGGCCTGAAAGCGCTCCAAATGTCCACTTCCAGATACTACAAAAGGAGTGATTCCAACCTGCTCTATGATAGGGAATGTTCAACTCTCTGTCCTGAATACAAACATCACAAAGATGTTTCTCAGAACGCTGCAGTCTGCAATTTGTATGAATTCCCGCTTCCAACGAAATCCTAAAAACTAGCCAAATATCCACTTGCAGATTCCACAAAAAGACCATTTCAAAACTGCTCTATCAAAAGAAAGGTTCAACTTTGTTAGTTGAGTAGATACAGCATAAACAAGTTTCTGAGAATGCTTCTGTCCAGTTTTTATGGGAAGATATTTCCTTTTTCACCTTAGCCCTGAAATCGCTCCAAAAGTCCAGTTCCAGATACTACAAAAGGGGTGTTTCAAGACTGCTCTATGAAAGGGAGTGTTCAACTTTTGACTTGAATGCAAACATCAGAAAGCAGTTTCTCAGAACGCTGCTGTGTGCTTTTTATATGTATTCCCGCTTCCAGCGAAATCCCCAAAGCTAGCCAAATATCCACTTGCAGATTCCAGAAAAAGAGTGTTTCAAAACTGCTCCTTCAAAACGGTGGTTCAATTCTCTTAGTTGAGTACACACATCTCAAATAAGTTTCTGAGAATGCTTCTGTCTAGTTGTTATGGGAAGATATTTCCTTTTCCAACATAGGCCTGAAAGCGCTCCAAATGTCCACTTCCAGATACTACAAAAGGAGTGATTCAAACCTGCTCTATGATAGGGAATGTTCATCTCTGTGTCCTGAATACAAACATCACAAAGATGTTTCTCAGAACGCTGCAGTCTGCAATTTGTATGAATTCCCGCTTCCAACGAAATCCTCAAAACTAGCCAAATATCCACTTGCAGATTCCACAAAAAGAGCATTTCAAAACTGCTCTATCAAAAGAAAGGTTCAACTTTGTTAGTTGAGTAGATACAGCATAAACAAGTTTCTGAGAATGCTTCTGTCTAGTTTTTATGGGAAGATATTACCTTTTTCACCTTAGCCCTGAAAGCGCTCCAAAAGTCCAGTTCCAGATACTACAAAAGGAGTGTTTCAGGACTGCTCTATGAAAGGGAGTGTTCAACTTTTGACTTGAATGCAAACATCAGAAAGCAGTTTCTCAGAACGCTGCTGTGTGCTTTTTATATGTATTCCCGCTTCCAGCGAAATCCCCAAAGCTAGCCAAATATCCACTTGCAGATTCCAGAAAAAGAGTGTTTCAAAACTGCTCCTTCAAAACGGTGGTTCAATTCTCTTAGTTGAGTACACACATCTCAAATAAGTTTCTGAGAATGCTTCTGTCTAGTTGTTATGGGAAGATATTTCCTTTTCCAACATAGGCCTGAAAGCGCTCCAAATGTCCACTTCCAGATACTACAAAAGGAGTGATTCAAACCTGCTCTATGATAGGGAATGTTCAACTCTGTGTCCTGAATACAAACATCACAAAGATGTTTCTCAGAACGCTGCAGTCTGCAATTTGTATGAATTCCCGCTTCCAACGAAATCCTCCAAACTAGCCAAATATCCACTTGCAGATTCCACAAAAAGAGCGTTTCAAAACTTCTCTATGAAAAGAAAGGTTCTACTCCTTTAGTTGAGGACACACATCACGAGTAAGTTTCTGAGAATGCTTCTGTCTAGTTTTTATGGGAAGATATTTCCTTTTTCACCTTAGGCCGGTAAGTGCTCCAAATGTCCACTTACACACACTACAAAAAGAGTGTTTCAAACCTGCTCTGTGAAAGGGAATGTTCAATTCTGTGACTTGAATGCAATCATCACAAAGAACTTTCTGAGAATGCTGCTGACTGCTTTTTATATGTAATCCCGTTTCCAACGAAATCCTCAAATCTAGCCAAATAGCCACTTGCAGATTCCACAAAAAGAGTGTTTCAAAACTGTTCTGTCTAAAGAAATGTTCAACTGTGTTAGTTGAGGACACACATCAGAAACTAGTTTCTGAGAATGCTTCTGTCTAGTTGTTATGGGAAGATATTTCCTTTTCCAACGTAGGCCTGAAAGCGCTCCAAATGTCCACTTCCAGATACTACAAAAGGAGTGATTCCAACCTGCTCTATGATAGGGAATGTTCAACTCTGTGTCCTGAATACAAACATCACAAAGATGTTTCTCAGAACGCTGCAGTCTGCAATTTGTATGAATTCCCGCTTCCAACGAAATCCTCCAAACTAGCCAAATATCCACTTGCAGATTCCACAAAAAGAGCGTTTCAAAACTTCTCTATGAAAGAAAGGTTCTACTCCTTTAGTTGAGGACACACATCACGAGTAAGTTTCTGAGAATGCTTCTGTCTAGTTTTTATGGGAAGATATTTCCTTTCTCACCTTAGGCCGGAAAGTGCTCCAAATGTCCACTTACACACACTACAAAAAGAGTGTTTCAAACCTGCTCTGTGAAAGGGAATGTTCAATTCTGTGACTTGAATGCAATCATCACAAAGAACTTTCTGAGAATGCTGCTGTCTGCTTTTTATATGTAATCCCGTTTCCAACGAAATCCTCAAATCTAGCCAAATAGCCACTTGCAGATTCCACAAAAAGAGTGTTTCAAAACTGTTCTGTCTAAAGAAATGTTCAACTGTGTTAGTTGAGGACACACATCAGAAACTAGTTTCTGAGAATGCTTCTGTCTAGTTGTTATGGGAAGATATTTCCTTTTCCAACGTAGGCCTGAAAGCGCTCCAAATGTCCACTTCCATATACTAAAAAAAGAGTGTTTCACACCTGCTCTACCAAAGGGAATGTTCTACTCTGTGACTTGAATGCAAACATCCCAAAGAAGTTTCTGAGAATGCTTCTGTCTAGATTTGATCTGAACACAATCCCGTTTCCAACGAAATCCTCAAAGCTAGGCAAATATCCTCTTGCAGATTCCAGAAAAAGAGTGTTTCAAAACTGCTCCTTCAAAACGGTGGTTCAATTCTCTTAGTTGAGTACACACATCTCAAATAAGTTTCTGAGAATGCTTCTGTCTAGTTGTTATGGGAAGAATATTTCCTTTTCCAACGTAGGCCTGAAAGCGCTCCAAATGTCCACTTCCAGATACTACAAAAAGAGTGTTTCAAACCTGCTCTACCAAAGGGAATGTTCTACTCTGTGACTTGAATGCAAGCATCCCAAAGAAGTTTCTGAGAATGCTTCTGTCTAGATTTTACCTGAAGACAATCCCGTTTCCCACGAAATCCTCAAAGCTATGCAAATATCCTCTTGCAGATTCTACAAAAAGAGTGTTTCAAAACTGCTCTATGAAAAGAAAGGTTCAACTCTGTCAGTAGAGGGCACACATCACAAACAAGTTTCTGAGAATGCTTCTGCATAGTTGTTACGGGAAGATATTTCCCTTTCCAAAATAGGCCTGAAAGCGCTCCAAATGTCCACTTCCAGATACTACAAAAGGAGTGATTCCAACCTGCTCTATGATAGGGAATGTTCAACTCTGTGTCCTGAATACAAACATCACAAAGATGTTTCTCAGAACGCTGCAGTCTGCAATTTGTATGAATTCCCGCTTCCAACGAAATCCTCAAAACTAGCCAAATATCCACTTGCAGATTCCACAAAAAGACCATTTCAAAACTGCTCTATCAAAAGAAAGGTTCAACTTTGTTAGTTGAGTAGATACAGCATAAACAAGTTTCTGAGAATGCTTCTGTCCAGTTTTTATGGGAAGATATTTCCTTTTTCACCTTAGCCCTGAAAGCGCTCCAAAAGTCCAGTTCCAGATACTACAAAAGGAGTGTTTCAGACTGCACTATGAAAGGGAGTGTTCAACTTTTGACTTGAATGCAAACATCAGAAAGCAGTTTCTCAGAACGCTGCTGTGTGCTTTTTATATGTATTCCCGCTTCCAGCGAAATCCCCAAAGCTAGCCAAATATCCACTTGCAGATTCCAGAAAAAGAGTGTTTCAAAACTGCTCCTTCAAAACGGTGGTTCAATTCTCTTAGTTGAGTACACACATCTCAAATAAGTTTCTGAGAATGCTTCTGTCTAGTTGTTATGGGAAGATATTTCCTTTTCCAACATAGGCCTGAAAGCGCTCCAAATGTCCACTTCCAGATACTACAAAAGGAGTGATTCCAACCTGCTCTATGATAGGGAATGTTCAACTCTGTGTCCTGAATACAAACATCACAAAGATGTTTCTCAGAACGCTGCAGTCTGCAATTTGTATGAATTCCCGCTTCCAACGAAATCCTCCAAACTAGCCAAATATCCACTTGCAGATTCCACAAAAAGAGCGTTTCAAAACTTCTCTATGAAAAGAAAGGTTCTACTCCTTTAGTTGAGGACACACATCACGAGTAAGTTTCTGAGAATGCTTCTGTCTAGTTTTTATGGGAAGATATTTCCTTTTTCACCTTAGGCCGGAAAGTGCTCCAAATGTCCACTTACACACACTACAAAAAGAGTGTTTCAAACCTGCTCTGTGAAAGGGAATGTTCAATTCTGTGACTTGAATGCAATCATCACAAAGAAGTTTCTGAGAATGCTGCTGTCTGCTTTTTATATGTAATCCCGTTTCCAACGAAATCCTCAAATCTAGCCAAATATCCACTTGCAGATTCCACAAAAAGAGTGTTTCAAAACTGTTCTGTCTAAAGAAAAGTTCAACTGTGTTAGTTGAGGACACACATCAGAAACTAGTTTCTGAGAATGCTTCTGTCTAGTTGTTATGGGAAGATATTTCCTTTTCCAACGTAGGCCTGAAAGCGCTCCAAATGTCCACTTCCATATACTAAAAAAAGAGTGTTTCAAACCTGCTCTACCAAAGGTAATGTTCTACTCTGTGACTTGAATGCAAACATCCCAAAGAAGTTTCTGAGAATGCTTCTGTCTAGATTTGATCTGAAGACAATCCCGTTTCCAACGAAATCCTCAAGGCTAGGCAAATATACTCTTGCAGATTCCAGAAAAAGAGGGTTTCAAAACTGCTCCTTCAAAACGGTGCTTCAATTCTCTTCGTTGAGTACACACATCTCAAATAAGTTTCTGAGAATGCTTCTGCCTAGTTGTTACGGGAAGATATTTCCCTTTCCAACATGGGCCTGAAAGCGCTCCAAATGTCCACTTCCAGATACTACAAAAAGAGTGTTTCAAACCTGCTCTAAAAAAGGGAATGTTCTACTCTGTGACTTGAATGCAAACATCCCAAAGAAGTTTCTGAGAATGCTTCTGTCTAGATTTTACCTGAAGACAATCCCGTTTCCCACGAAATCCTCAAAGCTATGCAAATATCCTCTTGCGGATTCTACAAAAAGAGTGTTTCAAAACTGCTCTATGAAAAGAAAGGTTCAACTCTGTCAGTAGAGGGCACACATCACAAACAAGTTTCTGAGAATGCTTGTGTCTAGTTGTTATGGGAAAATATTTCCTTTTTCAACATAGGCCCTGAAAGCGCTCCAAATGTCCACTTCCAGATACTACAAAAGGAGTGATTCCAACCTGCTCTATGATAGGGAATGTTCAACTCTCTGTCCTGAATACAAACATCACAAAGATGTTTCTCAGAACGCTGCAGTCTGCAATTTGTATGAATTCCCGCTTCCAACGAAATCCTCAAAACTAGCCAAATATCCACTTGCAGATTCCACAAAAAGAGCATTTCAAAACTGCTCTATCAAAAGAAAGGTTCAACTTTGTTAGTTGAGTAGATACAGCATAAACAAGTTTCTGAGAATGCTTCTGTCCAGTTTTTATGGGAAGATATTTCCTTTTTCACCTTAGCCCTGAAATCGCTCCAAAAGTCCAGTTCCAGATACTACAAAAGGGGTGTTTCAGGACTGCTCTATGAAAGGGAGTGTTCAACTTTTGACTTGAATGCAAACATCAGAAAGCAGTTTCTCAGAACGCTGCTGTGTGCTTTTTATATGTATTCCCGCTTCCAGCGAAATCCCCAAAGCTAGCCAAATATCCACTTGCAGATTCCAGAAAAAGAGTGTTTCAAAACTGCTCCTTCAAAACGGTGGTTCAATTCTCTTAGTTGAGTACACACATCTCAAATAAGTTTCTGAGAATGCTGCAGTCTGCAATTTGTTTGAATTCCCGCTTCCAACGTAATCCTCAAAACTAGCCAAATATCCACTTGGAGATTCCACAAAAAGAGCGTTTCAAAACTTCTCTATGAATAGAAAGGTTCTACTCCTTTAGTTGAGGACACACATCACGAGTAAGTTTCTGAGAATGCTTCTGTCTAGTTTTTATGGGAAGATATGTCCTTTTTCACCTTAGGCCGGAAAGCGCTCCAAATGTCCACTTACACACACTACAAAAAGAGTGTTTCAAACCTGCTCTGTGAAAGGGAATGTTCAATTCTGTGACTTGAATGCAATCATCACAAAGAACTTTCTGAGAATGCTGCTGTCTGCTTTTTATATGTAATCCCGTTTCCAACGAAATCCTCAAATCTAGCCCAATATCCACTTGCAGATTCCACAAAAAGAGTGTTTCAAAACTGTTCTGTATAAAGAAATGTACAACTGTGTTAGTTGAGGACACACATCAGAAACTAGTTTCTGAGAATGCTTCTGTCTAGTTGTTATGGGAAGATATTTCCTTTTCCAACGTAGGCCTGAAAGCGCTCCAAATGTCCACTTCCATATACTAAAAAAAGAGTGTTTCAAACCTGCTCTACCAAAGGGAATGTTCTACTCTGTGACTTGAATGCAAACATCCCAAAGAAGTTTCTGAGAATGCTTCTGTATAGATTTTATCTGAAGACAATCCCGTTTCCAACGAAATCCTCAAGGCTAGGCAAATATACTCTTGCAGATTCCAGAAAAAGAGGGTTTTAAAACTGCTCCTTCAAAACGGTGGTTCAATTCTCTTAGTTGAGTACACACATCTCAAATAAGTTTCTGAGAATGCTTCTGCCTAGTTGTTACGGGAAGATATTTCCCTTTCCAACATGGGCCTGAAAGCGCTCCAAATGTCCACTTCCAGATACTACAAAAAGAGTGTTTCAAACCTGCTCTACCAAAGGGAATGTTCTACTCTGTGACTTGAATGCAAACATCCCAAAGAAGTTTCTGAGAATGCTTCTGTCTAGATTTTACCTGAAGACAATCCCGTTTCCCACGAAATCCTCAGAGCTATGCAAATATCCTCTTGCAGATTCTACAAAAAGAGTGTTTCGGAACTGCTCTATGAAAAGAAAGGTTCAACTCTGTCAGTAGAGGAAACACATCACCAACAAGTTTCTGAGAATGCTTCTGTCTAGTTGTTATGGGAAGATTTTTCCTTTTTCAACATAGGCCTGAAAGCGCTCCAAATGTCCACTTCCAGATACTACAAAAGGAGTGATCCCAACCTGCTCTATGATAGGGAATGTTCAACTCTGTGTCCTGAATACAAACATCACAAAGATGTTTCTCAGAACGCTGCAGTCTGCAATTTGTATGAATTCCCGCTTCCAACGAAATCCTCAAAACTAGCGAAATATCCACTTGCAGATTCCATAAAAAGAGCATTTCAAAACTGCTCTATCAAAAGAAAGGTTCAACTTTGTTAGTTGAGTAGATACAGCATAAACAAGTTTCTGAGAATGCTTCTGTCCAGTTTTTATGGGAAGATATTTCCTTTTTCACCTTAGCCCTGAAAGCGCTCCAAATTTCCAGTTCCAGATACTACAAAAGGGGTGTTTCAAGACTGCTCTATGAAAGGGAGTGTTCAACTTTTGACTTGAATGCAAACATCAGAAAGCAGTTTCTCAGAACGCTGCTGTGTGCTTTTTATATGTATTCCCGCTTACAGCGAAATCCCCAAAGCTAGCCAAATATCCACTTGCAGATTCCAGAAAAAGAGTGTTTCCAAACTGCTCCTTCAAAACGGTGGTTCAATTCTCATAGTTGAGTACACACATCTCAAATAAGTTTCTGGGAATGCTTCTGTCTAGTTGTTATGGGAAGATATTTCCTTTTCCAACATAGGCCTGAAAGCGCTCCAAATGTCCACTTCCAGATACTACAAAAGGAGTGATTCAAACCTGCTCTATGATAGGGAATGTTCAACTCTGTGTCCTGAATACAAACATCACAAAGATGTTTCTCAGAACGCTGCAGTCTGCAATTTGTATGAATTCCCGCTTCCAACGAAATCCTCAAAACTAGCCAAATATCCACTTGCAGATTCCACAAAAAGAGCGTTTCAAAACTTCTCTATGAAAAGAAAGGTTCTACTACTTTAGTTGAGGACACACATCACGAGTAAGTTTCTGAGAATGCTTCTGTCTAGTTTTTATGGGAAGATATTTCCTTTTTCACCTTAGGCCGGAAAGTGCTCCAAATGTCCACTTACACACACTACAAAAAGAGTGTTTCAAAACTGCTCTGTGAAAGGGAATGTTCAATTCTGTGACTTGAATGCAATCATCACAAAGAACGTTCTGAGAATGCTGCTGTCAGCTTTTTATATGTAATCCCGTTTCCAAAGAAATCCTCAAATCTAGCCAAATAGCCACTTGGAGATTCCACAAAAAGAGTGTTTCAAAACTGTTCTGTCTAAAGAAATGTTCAACTGTGTTAGTTGAGGACACACATCAGAAACTAGTTTCTGAGAATGCTTCTGTCTAGTTGTTATGGGAAGATATTTCCTTTTCCAACGTAGGCCTGAAAGCGCTCCAAATGTCCACTTCCATATACTAAAAAAAGAGTGTTTCAAACCTGCTCTAACAAAGGGAATGTTCTACTCTGTGAATTGAATGAAAACACCCAACGAAGTTTCTGAGAATGCTTCTGTCTAGATTTTATCTGAAGACAATCCCGTTTCCAACGAAATCCTCAAGGCTAGGCAAATATACTCTTGCAGATTCCAGAAAAAGAGTGTTTCAAAACTGCTCCTTCAAAACGGTGGTTCAATTCTCTTAGTTGAGTACACACATCTCAAATAAGTTTCTGAGAATGCTTCTGCCTAGTTGTTACGGGAAGATATTTCCCTTTCCAACATGGGCCTGAAAGCGGTCCATATGTCCACTTCCAGATACTACAAAAAGAGTGTTTCAAACCTGCTCTACCAAAGGGAATGTTCTACTCTGTGACTTGAATGCAAACATCCCAAAGAAGTTTTTGAGAATGCTTCTGTCTAGATTTTACCTGAAGACAATCCCGTTTCCCACGAAATCCTCAAAGCTATGCAAATATCCTCTTGCAGATTCTACAAAAAGAGTGTTTCAAAACTGCTCTATGAAAAGAAAGGTTCAACTCTGTCAGTAGAGGGCACACATCACAAACAAGTTTCTGAGAATGCTGTGTCTAGTTGTTATGGGAAGATATTTCCTTTTTCAACATAGGCCTGAAAGCGCTCCAAATGTCCACTTCCAGATACTACAAAAGGAGTGATTCCAACCTGCTCTATGATAGGGAATGTTCATCTGCTGTGTCCTGAATACAAACATCACAAAGATGTTTCTCAGAACGCTGGCAGTCTGCAATTTGTATGAATTCCCGCTTCCAATGAAATCCTCAAAACTAGCCAAATATCCACTTGCAGATTCCACAAAAAGACCATTTCAAAACCTGCTCTATCAAAAGAAAGGTTCAACTTTGTTAGTTGAGTAGATACAGCATAAACAAGTTTCTGAGAATGCTTCTGTCCAGTTTTTATGGGAAGATATTTCCTTTTTCACCTTAGCCCTGAAATCGCTCCAAAAGTCCAGTTCCAGATACTACAAAAGGGGTGTTTCAAGACTGCTCTATGAAAGGGAGTGTTCAACTTTTGACTTGAATGCAAACATCAGAAAGCAGTTTCTCAGAACGCTGCTGTGTGCTTTTTATATGTATTCCCGCTTCCAGCGAAATCCCCAAAGCTAGCCAAATATCCACTTGCAGATTCCAGAAAAAGAGTGTTTCAAAACTGCTCCTTCAAAACGGTGGTTCAATTCTCTTAGTTGAGTACACACATCTCAAATAAGTTTCTGAGAATGCTTCTGTCTAGTTGTTATGGGAAGATATTTCCTTTTCCAACATAGGCCTGAAAGCGCTCCAAATGTCCACTTCCAGATACTACAAAAGGAGTGATTCCAACCTGCTCTATGATAGGGAATGTTCAACTCTGTGTCCTGAATACAAACATCACAAAGATGTTTCTCAGAACGCTGCAGTCTGCAATTTGTATGAATTCCCGCTTCCAACGAAATCCTCCAAACTAGCCAAATATCCACTTGCAGATTCCACAAAAAGAGCGTTTCAAAACTTCTCTATGAAAAGAAAGGTTCTACTCCTTTAGTTGAGGACACACATCACGAGTAAGTTTCTGAGAATGCTTCTGTCTAGTTTTTATGGGAAGATATTTCCTTTTTCACCTTAGGCCGGTAAGTGCTCCAAATGTCCACTTACACACACTACAAAAAGAGTCTTTCAAACCTGCTCTGTGAAAGGGAATGTTCAATTCTGTGACTTGAATGCAATCATCACAAAGAACTTTCTGAGAATGCTGCTGTCTGCTTTTTATATGTAATCCCGTTTCCAACGAAATCCTCAAATCTAGCCAAATAGCCACTTGCAGATTCCACAAAAAGAGAGTTTCAAAACTGTTCTGTCTAAAGAAATGTTCAACTGTGTTAGTTGAGGACACACATCAGAAACTAGTTTCTGAGAATGCTTCTGTCTAGTTGTTATGGGAAGATATTTCCTTTTCCAACGTAGGCCTGAAAGCGCTCCAAATGTCCACTTCCATATACTAAAAAAAGAGTGTTTCAAACCTGCTCTACCAAAGGGAATGTTCTACTCTGTGACTTGAATGCAAACATCCCAAAGAAGTTTCTGAGAATGCTTCTGTCTAGATTTTATCTGAAGACAATGCGGTTTCCAACGAAATCCTCAAAGCTAGGCAAATATCCTCTAGCAGATTCCAGAAAAAGAGTGTTTCAAAACTGCTCCTTCAAAACGGTGGTTCAATTCTCTTAGTTGAGTACACACATCTCAAAAAAGTTTCAGAGAATGCTTCTGCCTAGTTGTTACGGGAAGATATTTCCCTTTCCAACATGGGCCTGAAAGCGCTCCAAATGTCCACTTCCAGATACTACAAAAAGAGTGTTTCAAACCTGCTCTACCAAAGGGAATGTTCTACTCTGTGACTTGAATGCAAACATCCCAAAGAAGTTTCTGAGAATGCTTCTGTCTAGATTTTACCTGAAGACAATCCCGTTTCCCACGAAATCCTCAAAGCTATGCAAATATCCTCTTGCAGATTCTACAAAAAGAGTGTTTCAAAACTGCTCTATGAAAAGAAAGGTTCAACACTGTCAGTAGAGGGCACACATCACAAACAAGTTTCTGAGAATGCTTCTGCATAGTTGTTACGGGAAGATATTTCCCTTTCCAAAATAGGCCTGAAAGCGCTCCAAATGTCCACTTCCAGATACTACAAAAGGAGTGATTCCAACCTGCTCTATGATAGGGAATGTTCAACTCTGTGTCCTGAATACAAACATCACAAAGATGTTTCTCAGAACGCTGCAGTCTGCAATTTGTATGAATTCCCGCTTCCAACGAAATCCTCCAAACTAGCCAAATATCCACTTGCAGATTCCACAAAAAGAGCATTTCAAAACTGCTCTATCAAAAGAAAGGTTCAACTATGTTAGTTGAGTAGATACAGCATAAACAAGTTTCTGAGAATGATTCTGTCCAGTTTTTATGGGAAGATATTTCCTTTTTCACCTTAGCCCTGAAAGCGCTCCAAAAATCCAGTTCCAGATACTACAAAAGGAGTGTTTCAGGACTGCTCTATGAAAGGGAGTGTTCAACTTTTGACTTGAATGCAAACATCAGAAAGCAGTTTCTCAGAACGCTGCTGTGTGCTTTTTATATGTATTCCCGCTTCCAGCGAAATCCCCAAAGCTAGCCAAATATCCACTTGCAGATTCCAGAAAAAGAGTGTTTCAAAACTGCTCCTTCAAAACGGTGGTTCAATTCTCTTAGTTGAGTACACACATCTCAAATAAGTTTCTGAGAATGCTTGTGTCTAGTTGTTATGGGAAGATATTTCCTTTTTCAACATAGGCCTGAAAGCGCTCCAAATGTCCACTTCCAGATACTACAAAAGGAGTGATTCCAACCTGCTCTATGATAGGGAATGTTCATCTCTGTGTCCTGAATACAAACATCACAAAGATGTTTCTCAGAACGCTGCAGTCTGCAATTTGTATGAATTCCCGCTTCCAACGAAATCCTCAAAACTAGCCAAATATCCACTTGGAGATTCCACAAAAAGAGCGTTTCAAAACTTCTCTATGAATAGAAAGGTTCTACTCCTTTAGTTGAGGACACACATCACGAGTAAGTTTCTGAGAATGCTTCTGTCTAGTTTTTATGGGAAGATATTTCCTTTTTCACCTTAGGCCGGAAAGCGCTCCAAATGTCCACTTACACACACTACAAAAAGAGTGTTTCAAACCTGCTCTGTGAAAGGGAATGTTCAATTCTGTGACTTGAATGCAATCATCACAAAGAACTTTCTGAGAATGCTGCTGTCTGCTTTTTATATGTAATCCTGTTTCCAACGAAATCCTCAAATCTAGCCCAATATCCACTTGCAGATTCCACAAAAAAAGTGTTTCAAAACTGTTCTGTCTAAAGAAATGTACAACTGTGTTAGTTGAGGACACACATCAGAAACTAGTTTCTGAGAATGCTTCTGTCTAGTTGTTATGGGAAGATATTTCCTTTTCCAACGTAGGCCTGAAAGCGCTCCAAATGTCCACTTCCATATACTAAAAAAAGAGTGTTTCAAACCTGCTCTACCAAAGGGAATGTTCTACTCTGTGACTTGAATGCAAACATCCCAAAGAAGTTTCTGAGAATGCTTCTGTCTAGATTTTATCTGAAGACAATCCCGTTTCCAACGAAATCCTCAAGGCTAGGAAAATATACTCTTGCAGATTCCAGAAAAAGAGTGTTTCAAAACTGCTCCTTCAAAACGGTGGTTCAATTCTCTTAGTTGAGTACACACATCTCAAGTAAGTTTCTGAGAATGCTTCTGCCTAGTTGTTACGGGAAGATATTTCCCTTTCCAACATGGGCCTGAAAGCGCTCCAAATGTCCACTTCCAGATACAACAAAAAGAGTGTTTCAAACCTGCTCTACCAAAGGGAATGTTCTACTCTGTGACTTGAATGCAAACATCCCAAAGAAGTTTCTGAGAATGCTTCTGTCTAGATTTTACCTGAAGACAATCCCGTTTCGCACGAAATCCTCAAAGCTATGCAAATATCGTCTTGCAGATTCTACAAAAAGAGTGTTTCAAAACTGCTCTATGAAAAGAAAGGTTCAACTCTGTCAGTAGAGGGCACACATCACAAACAAGTTTCTGAGAATGCTTGTGTCTAGTTGTTATGGGAAGATATTTCCTTTTTCAACATAGGCCTGAAAGCGCTCCAAATGTCCACTTCCAGATACTACAAAAGGAGTGATTCCAACCTGCTCTATGATAGGGAATGTTCAACTCTCTGTCCTGAATACAAACATCACAAAGATGTTTCTCAGAACGCTGCAGTCTGCAATTTGTATGAATTCCCGCTTCCAACGAAATCCTCAAAACTAGCCAAATATCCACTTGCAGATTCCACAAAAAGAGCATTTCAAAACTGCTCTATCAAAAGAAAGGTTCAACTATGTTAGTTGAGTAGATACAGCATAAACAAGTTTCTGAGAATGCTTCTGTCCAGTTTTTATGGGAAGATATTTCCTTTTTCACCTTAGCCCTGAAATCGCTCCAAAAGTCCAGTTCCAGATACTACAAAAGGGGTGTTTCAGGACTGCTCTATGAAAGGGAGTGTTCAACTTTTGACTTGAATGCAAACATCAGAAAGCAGTTTCTCAGAACGCTGCTGTGTGCTTTTTATATGTATTCCCGCTTCCAGCGAAATCCCCAAAGCTAGCCAAATATCCACTTGCAGATTCCAGAAAAAGAGAGTTTCAAAACTGCTCCTTCAAAACGGTGGTTCAATTCTCTTAGTTGAGTACACACATCTCAAATAAGTTTCTGAGAATGCTGCAGTCTGCAATTTGGATGAATTCCCGCTTCCAACGAAATCCTCAAAACTAGCCAAATATCCACTTGGAGATTCCACAAAAAGAGCGTTTCAAAACTTCTCTATGAATAGAAAGGTTCTACTCCTTTAGTTGAGGACACACATCACGAGTAAGTTTCTGAGGATGCTTCTGTCTAGTTTTTATGGGAAGATATTTCCTTTTTCACCTTAGGCCGGAAAGCGCTCCAAATGTCCACTTACACACACTACAAAAAGAGTGTTTCAAACCTGCTCTGTGAAAGGGAATGTTCAATTCTGTGACTTGAATGCAATCATCACAAAGAACTTTCTGAGAATGCGCTGTCTGCTTTTTATATGTAATCCCGTTTCCAACGAAATCCTCAAATCTAGCCAAATATCCACTTGCAGATTCCACAAAAAGAGTGTTTCAAAACTGTTCTGTCTAAAGAAATGTTCAACTGTGTTAGTTGAGGACACACATCAGAAACTAGTTTCTGAGAATGCTTCTGTCTAGTTGTTATGGGAAGATATTTCCTTTTCCAACGTAGGCCTGAAAGCGCTCCAAATGTCCACTTCCATATACTAAAAAAAGAGTGTTTCAAACCTGCTCTACCAAAGGGAATGTTCTACTCTGTGACTTGAATGCAAACATCCCAAAGAAGTTTCTGAGAATGCTTCTGTCTAGATTTGATCTGAAGACAATCCCGTTTCCAACGAAATCCTCAAGGCTAGGCAAATATCCTCTTGCAGATTCCAGAAAAAGAGTGTTTCAAAACTGCTCCTTCAAAACGGAGATTCAATTCTCTTAGTTGAGTACACACATCTCAAATAAGTTTCTGAGAATGCTTCTGCCTAGTTGTTACGGGAAGATATTTCCCTTTCCAACATAGGCCTGAAAGCGCTCCAAATGTCCACTTCCAGATAGTACAAAAAGAGTGTTTCAAACCTGCTCTACCAAAGGGAATGTTCTACTCTGTGACTTGAATGCAAACATCCCAAAGAAGTTTCTGAGAATGCTTCTGTCTAGATTTTACCTGAAGACAATCCCGTTTCCCACGAAATCCTCAAAGCTATGCAAATATCCTCTTGCAGATTCTACAAAAAGAGTGTTTCAAAACTGCTCTATGAAAAGAAAGGTTCAACTCTGTCAGTAGAGGGCACACATCACAAACAAGTTTCTGAGAATGCTTCTGCATAGTTGTTACGGGAAGATATTTCCCTTTCCAAAATAGGCCTGAAAGCGCTCCAAATGTCCACTTCCAGATACTACAAAAGGAGTGATTCCAACCTGCTCTATGATAGGGAATGTTCAACTCTGTGTCCTGAATACAAACATCACAAAGATGTTTCTCAGAACGCTGCAGTCTGCAATTTGTATGAATTCCCGCTTCCAACGAAATCCTCAAAACTAGCCAAATATCCACTTGCAGATTCCACAAAAAGACCATTTCAAAACTGCTCTATCAAAAGAAAGGTTCAACTTTGTTAGTTGAGTAGATACAGCATAACCAAGTTTCTGAGAATGCTTCTGTCCAGTTTTTATGGGAAGATATTTCCTTTTTCACCTTAGCCCTGAAATCGCTCCAAAAGTCCAGTTCCAGATACTACAAAAGGGGTGTTTCAAGACTGCTCTATGAAAGGGAGTGTTCAACTTTTGACTTGAATGCAAACATCAGAAAGCAGTTTCTCAGAACGCTGCTGTGTGCTTTTTATATGTATTCCCGCTTCCAGCGAAATCCCCAAAGCTAGCCAAATATCCACTTGCAGATTCCAGAAAAAGAGTGTTTCAAAACTGCTCCTTCAAAACGGTGGTTCAATTCTCTTAGTTGAGTACACACATCTCAAATAAGTTTCTGAGAATGCTTGTGTCTAGTTGTTATGGGAAGATATTTCCTTTTTCAACATAGGCCTGAAAGCGCTCCAAATGTCCACTTCCAGATACTACAAAAGGAGTGATTCCAACCTGCTCTATGATAGGGAATGTTCATCTCTGTGTCCTGAATACAAACATCACAAAGATGTTTCTCAGAACGCTGCAGCCTGCAATTTGTGTGAATTCCCGCTTCCAATGAAATCCTCAAAACTAGCCAAATATCCACTTGGAGATTCCACAAAAAGAGCGTTTGAAAACTTCTCTATGAATAGAAAGGTTCTACTCCTTTAGTTGAGGACACACATCACGAGTAAGTTTCTGAGAATGCTTCTGTCTAGTTTTTATGGGAAGATATTTCCTTTTTCACCTTAGGCCGGAAAGCGCTCCAAATGTCCACTTACACACACTACAAAAAGAGTGTTTCAAACCTGCTCTGTGAAAGGGAATGTTCAATTCTGTGACTTGAATGCAATCATCACAAAGAACTTTCTGAGAATGCTGCTGTCTGCTTTTTATATGTAATCCCGTTTCCAACGAAATCCTCAAATCTAGCCAAATATCCACTTGCAGATTCCACAAAAAGAGTGTTTCAAAACTGTTCTGTCTAAAGAAAAGTTCAACTGTGTTAGTTGAGGACACACATCAGAAACTAGTTTCTGAGAATGCTTCTGTCTAGTTGTTATGGGAAGATATTTCCTTTTCCAACGTAGGCCTGAAAGCGCTCCAAATGTCCACTTCCATATACTAAAAAAAGAGTGTTTCAAACCTGCTCTACCAAAGGGAATGTTCTACTCTGTGACTTGAATGCAAACATCCCAAAGAAGTTTCTGAGAATGCTTCTGTCTAGATTTTATCTGAAGACAATCCCGTTTCCAACGAAATTCTCACGGCTAGGCAAATATACTCTTGCAGATTCCAGAAAAAGAGTGTTTCAAAACTGCTCCTTCAAAACGTTGGTTAAATTCTCTTAGTTGAGTACACACATCTCAAATAAGTTTCTGAGAATGCTTCTGCCTAGTTGTTACGGGAAGATATTTCCCTTTCCAACATGGGCCTGAAAGCGCTCCAAATGTCCACTTCCAGATACTACAAAAAGAGGGTTTCAAACCTGCTCTACCAAAGGGAATGTTCTACTCTGTGACTTGATTGCAAACATCCCAAAGAAGTTTCTGAGAATGCTTCTGTCTAGATTTTACCTGAAGACAATCCCGTTTCCCACGAAATCCTCAAAGCTATGCAAATATCCTCTTGCAGATTCTACAAAAAGAGTGTTTCAAAACTGCTCTATGAAAAGAAAGGTTCAACTCTGTCAGTAGAGGGCACACATCACAAACAAGTTTCTGAGAATGCTTCTGCATAGTTGTTACGGGAAGATATTTCCCTTTCCAAAATAGGCCTGAAAGCGCTCCAAATGTCCACTTCCAGATACTACAAAAGGAGTGATTCCAACCTGCTCTATGATAGGGAATGTTCAACTCTGTGTCCTGAATACAAACATCACAAAGATGTTTCTCAGAACGCTGCAGTCTGCAATTTGTATGAATTCCCGCTTCCAACGAAATCCTCAAAACTAGCCAAATATCCACTTGCAGATTCCACAAAAAGACCATTTCAAAACTGCTCTATCAAAAGAAAGGTTCAACTTTGTTAGTTGAGTAGATACAGCATAAACAAGTTTCTGAGAATGCTTCTGTCCAGTTTTTATGGGAAGATATTTCCTTTTTCACCTTAGCCCTGAAATCGCTCCAAAAGTCCAGTTCCAGATACTACAAAAGGGGTGTTTCAAGACTGCTCTATGAAAGGGAGTGTTCAACTTTTGACTTGAATGCAAACATCAGAAAGCAGTTTCTCAGAACGCTGCTGTGTGCTTTTTATATGTATTCCCGCGTCCAGCGAAATCCCCAAAGCTAGCCAAATATCCACTTGCAGATTCCAGAAAAAGAGTGCTTCAAAACTGCTCCTTCAAAACGGTGGTTCAATTCTCTTAGTTGAGTACACACATCTCAAATAAGTTTCTGAGAATGCTTGTGTCTAGTTGTTATGGGAAGATATTTCCTTTTTCAACATAGGCCTGAAAGCGCTCCAAATGTCCACTTCCAGATACTACAAAAGGAGTGATTCCAACCTGCTCTATGATAGGGAATGTTCATCTCTGTGTCCTGAATACAAACATCACAAAGATGTTTCTCAGAACGCTGCAGTCTGCAATTTGTATGAATTCCCGCTTCCAACGAAATCCTCAAAACTAGCCAAATATCCACTTGGAGATTCCACAAAAAGAGCCTTTCAAAACTTCTCTATGAATAGAAAGGTTCTACTCCTTTAGTTGAGGACACACATCACGAGTAAGTTTCTGAGAATGCTTCTGTCTAGTTTTTATGGGAAGATATTTCCTTGTTCACCTTAGGCCGGAAAGCGCTCCAAATGTCCACTTACACACACTACAAAAAGAGTGTTTCAAACCTGCTCTGTGAAAGGGAATGTTCAATTCTGTGACTTGAATGCAATCATCACAAAGAACTTTCTGAGAATGCTGCTGTCTGCTTTTTATATGTAATCCCGTTTCCAACGAAATCCTCAAATCTAGCCAAATATCCACTTGCAGATTCCACAAAAAGAGTGTTTCAAAACTGTTCTGTCTAAAGAAATGTTCAACTGTGTTAGTTGAGGACACACATCAGAAACTAGTTTCTGAGAATGCTTCTGTCTAGTTGTTATGGGAAGATATTTCCTTTTCCAACGTAGGCCTGAAAGCGCTCCAAATGTCCACTTCCATATACTAAAAAAAGAGTGTTTCAAACCTGCTCTACCAAAGGAATGTTCTACTCTGTGACTTGAATGCAAACATCCCAAAGAAGTTTCTGAGAATGCTTCTGTCTAGATTGGATCTGAAGACAATCCCTTTTCCAACGAAATCCTCAAAGCTAGGCAAATATCCTCTTGCAGATTCCAGAAAAAGAGTGTTTCCAAACTGCTCCTTCAAAACGGTGGTTCAATTCTCTTAGTTGAGTACACACATCTCAAATAAGTTTCTGAGAATGCTTCTGCCTAGTTGTTACGGGAAGATATTTCCCTTTCCAACATAGGCCTGAAAGCGCTCCAAATGTCCACTTCCAGATACTACAAAAAGAGTGTTTCAAACCTGCTCTACCAAAGGGAATGTTCTACTCTGTGACTTGAATGCAAACATCCCAAAGAAGTTTCTGAGAATGCTTCTGTCTAGATTTTACCTGAAGACAATCCCGTTTCCCACGAAATCCTCGAAGCTATGCAAATATCCTCTTGCAGATTCTACAAAAAGAGTGTTTCAAAACTGCTCTATGAAAAGAAAGGTTCAACTCTGTCAGTAGAGGGCACACATCACAAACAAGTTTCTGAGAATGCTTGTGTCTAGTTGTTATGGGAAGATATTTCCTTTTTCAACATAGGCCTGAAAGCGCTCCAAATGTCCACTTCCAGATACTACAAAAGGAGTGATTCCAACCTGCTCTATGATAGGGAATCTTCAACTCTGTGTCCTGAATACAAACATCACAAAGATGTTTCTCAGAACGCTGCAGTCTGCAATTTGTATGAATTCCCGCTTCCAACGAAATCCTCAAAACTAGCCAAATATCCACTTGCAGATTCCACAAAAAGAGCGTTTCAAAACTTCTCTATGAAAAGAAAGGTTCTACACCTTTAGTTGAGGACACACATCACGAGTAAGTTTCTGAGAATGCTTCTGTCTAGTTTTTATGGGAAGATATTTCCTTTTTCACCTTAGGCCGGAAAGTGCTCCAAATGTCCACTTACACACACTACAAAAAGAGTGTTTCAAACCTGCTCTGTGAAAGGGAATGTTCAATTCTGTGACTTGAATGCAATCATCACAATGAACTTTCTGAGACTGCTGCTGTCTGCTTTGTATATGTAATCCCGTTTCCAACGAAATCCTCAAATCTAGCTAAATATCCACTTGCAGATTCCAGAAAAAGAGTGTTTCAAAACTGCTCCTTCAAAACGGTGGTTCAATTCTCTTAGTTGAGTACACACATCTCAAATAAGTTTCTGAGAATGCTTCTGCATAGTTGTTACGGGAAGATATTTCCCTTTCCAAAATAGGCCTGAAAGCGCTCCAAATGTCCACTTCCAGATACTACAAAAGGAGTGATTCCAACCTGCTCTATGATAGGGAATGTTCAACTCTGTGTCCTGAATACAAACATCACAAAGATGTTTCTCAGAACGCTGCAGTCTGCAATTTGTATGAATTCCCGCTTCCAACGAAATCCTCAAAACTAGCCAAATATCCACTTGCAGATTCCACAAAAAGAGCGTTTCAAAACTTCTCTATGAAAAGAAAGGTTCTACTCCTTTAGTTGAGGACACACATCACGAGTAAGTTTCTGAGAATGCTTCTGTCTAGTTTTTATGGGAAGATATTTCCTTTTTCACCTTAGGCCGGAAAGTGCTCCAAATGTCCACTTACACACACTGCAAAAAGAGTGTTTCAAACCTGCTCTGTGAAAGGGAATGTTCAATTCTGTGACTTGAATGCAATCATCACAAAGAACTTTCTGAGAATGCTGCTGTCTGCTTTTTATATGTAATCCCGTTTCCAACGAAATCCTCAAATCTAGCCAAATAGCCACTTGCAGATTCCACAAAAAGAGTGTTTCAAAACTGTTCTGTCTAAAGAAATGTTCAACTGTGTTAGTTGAGGACACACATCAGAAACTAGTTTCTGAGAATGCTTCTGTCTAGTTGTTATGGGAAGATATTTCCTTTTCCAACGTAGGCCTGAAAGCGCTCCAAATGTCCACTTCCATATACTAAAAAAAGAGTGTTTCAAACCTGCTCTACCAAAGGGAATGTTCTACTCTGTGACATGAATGCAAACATCCCAAAGAAGTTTCTGAGAATGCTTCTGTCTAGATTTGATCTGAAGACAATCCCGTTTCCAACGAAATCCTCAAGGCTAGGCAAATATCCTCTTGCAGATTCCAGAAAAAGAGTGTTTCAAAACTGCTCCTTCAAAACGGTGGTTCAATTCTCTTAGTTGAGTACACACATCTCAAATAAGTTTCTGAGAATGCTTCTGCCTAGTTGTTACGGGAAGATATTTCCCTTTCCAACATAGGCCTGAAAGCGCTCCAAATGTCCACTTCCAGATACTACAAAAAGAGTGTTTCAAACCTGCTCTACCAAAGGGAATGTTCTGCTCTGTGACTTGAATGCAAACATCCCAAAGAAGTTTCTGAGAATGCTTCTGTCTAGATTTTACCTGAAGACAATCCCGTTTCCCACGAAATCCTCAAAGCTATGCAAATATCCTCTTGCAGATTCTACAAAAAGAGTGTTTCAAAACTGCTCTATGAAAAGAAAGGTTCAACTCTGTCAGTAGAGGGCACACATCACAAACAAGTTTCTGAGAATGCTTGTGTCTAGTTGTTATGGGAAGATATTTCCTTTTTCAACATAGGCCTGAAAGCGCTCCAAATGTCCACTTCCAGATACTACAAAAGGAGTGATTCCAACCTGCTCTATGATAGGGAATGTTCAACTCTCTGTCCTGAATACAAACATCACAAAGATGTTTCTCAGAACGCTGCAGTCTGCAATTTGTATGAATTCCCGCTTCCAACGAAATCCTCAAAACTAGCCAAATATCCACTTGCAGATTCCACAAAAAGAGCATTTCAAAACTGCTCTATCAAAAGAAAGGTTCAACTTTGTTAGTTGAGTAGATACAGCATAAACAAGTTTCTGAGAATGCTTCTGTCCAGTTTTTATGGGAAGATATTTCCTTTTTCACCTTAGCCCTGAAAGCGCTCCAAAAGTCCAGTTCCAGATACTACAAAAGGGGTGTTTCAGGACTGCTCTATGAAAGGGAGTGTTCAACTTTTGACTTGAATGCAAACATCAGAAAGCAGTTTCTCAGAACGCTGCTGTGTGCTTTTTATATGTATTCCCGCTTCCAGCGAAATCCCCAAAGCTAGCCAAATATCCACTTGCAGATTCCAGAAAAAGAGTGTTTCAAAACTGCTCCTTCAAAACGGTGGTTCAATTCTCTTAGTTGAGTACACACATCTCAAATAAGTTTCTGAGAATGCTTCTGTCTAGTTGTTATGGGAAGATATTTCCTTTTCCAACATAGGCCTGAAAGCGCTCCAAATGTCCACTTCCAGATACTACAAAAGGAGTGATTCAAACCTGCTCTATGATAGGGAATGTTCAACTCTGTGTCCTGAATACAAACATCACAAAGATGTTTCTCAGAACGCTGCAGTCTGCAATTTGTATGAATTCCCGCTTCCAACGAAATCCTCAAAACTAGCCAAATATCCACTTGCAGATTCCACAAAAAGAGCGTTTCAAAACTTCTCTATGAAAAGGAAGGTTCTACTCCTTTAGTTGAGGACACACATCACGAGTAAGTTTCTGAGAATGCTTCTGTCTAGTTTTTATGGGAAGATATTTCCTTTTTCACCTTAGGCCGGAAAGTGCTCCAAATGTCCACTTACACACACTACAAAAAGAGTGTTTCAAACCTGCTCTGTGAAAGGGAATGTTCAATTCTGTGACTTGAATGCAATCATCACAAAGAACTTTCTGAGAATGCTGCTGTCTGCTTTTTATATGTAATCCCGTTTCCAACGAAATCCTCAAATCTAGCCAAATAGCCACTTGCAGATTCCACAAAAAGAGTGTTTCAAAACTGTTCTGTCTACAGAAATGTTCAACTGTGTTAGTTGAGGACACACATCAGAAACTAGTTTCTGAGAATGCTTCTGTCTAGTTGTTATGGGAAGATATTTCCTTTTCCAACGTAGGCCTGAAAGCGCTCCAAATGTCCACTTCCAGATACTACAAAAGGAGTGATTCCAACCTGCTCTATGATAGGGAATGTTCAACTCTGTGTCCTGAATACAAACATCACAAAGATGTTTCTCAGAACGCTGCAGTCTGCAATTTGTATGAATTCCCGCTTCCAACGAAATCCTCCAAACTAGCCAAATATCCACTTGCAGATTCCACAAAAAGAGCGTTTCAAAACTTCTCTATGAAAGAAAGGTTCTACTCCTTTAGTTGAGGACACACATCACGAGTAAGTTTCTGAGAATGCTTCTGTCTAGTTGTTATGGGAAGATATTTCCTTTTCCAACGTAGGCCTGAAAGCGCTCCAAATGTCCACTTCCATATACTAAAAAAAGAGTGTTTCAAACCTGCTCTACCAAAGGGAATGTTCTACTCTGTGACTTGAATGCAAACATCCCAAAGAAGTTTCTGAGAATGCTTCTGTCTAGATTTGATCTGAAGACAATCCCGTTTCCAACGAAATCCTCAAGGCTAGGCAAATATCCTCTTGCAGATTCCAGAAAAAGAGTGTTTCAAAACTGCTCCTTCAAAACGGTGGTTCAATTCTCTTAGTTGAGTACACACATCTCAAATAAGTTTCTGAGAATGCTTCTGCCTAGTTGTTACGGGAAGATATTTCCCTTTCCAACATAGGCCTGAAAGCGCTCCAAATGTCCACTTCCAGATACTACAAAAAGAGTGTTTCAAACCTGCTCTACCAAAGGGAATGTTCTACTCTGTGACTTGAATGCAAACATCCCAAAGAAGTTTCTGAGAATGCTTCTGTCTAGATTTGATCTGAACACAATCCCGTTTCCAACGAAATCCTCAAAGCTAGGCAAATATCCTCTTGCAGATTCCAGAAAAAGAGTGTTTCAAAACTGCTCCTTCAAAACGGTGGTTCAATTCTCTTAGTTGAGTGCACACATCTCAAATAAGTTTCTGAGAATGCTTCTGCCTAGTTGTTACGGGAAGATATTTCCCTTTCCAACATAGGCCTGAAAGCGCTCCAAATGTCCACTTCCAGATACTACAAAAAGAGTGTTTCAAACCTGCTCTACCAAAGGGAATGTTCTACTCTGTGACTTGAATGCAAACATCCCAAAGAAGTTTCTGAGAATGCTTCTGTCTAGATTTTACCTGAAGACAATCCCGTTTCCCACGAAATCCTCAAAGCTATGCAAATATCCTCTTGCGCATTCTACAAAAAGAGTGTTTCAAAACTGCTCTATGAAAAGAAAGGTTCAACTCTGTCAGTAGAGGGCACACATCACAAACAAGTTTCTGAGAATGCTTGTGTCTAGTTGTTATGGGAAGATATTTCCTTTTTCAACATAGGCCTGAAAGCGCTCCAAATGTCCACTTCCAGATACTACAAAAGGAGTGATTCCAACCTGCTCTATGATAGGGAATGTTCATCTCTGTGTCCTGAATACAAACATCACAAAGATGTTTCTCAGAACGCTGCAGTCTGCAATTTGTATGAATTCCCGCTTCCAACGAAATCCTCCAAACTAGCCAAATATCCACTTGCAGATTCCACAAAAAGAGCATTTCAAAACTGCTCTATCAAAAGAAAGGTTCAACTTTGTTAGTTGAGTAGATACAGCATAAACAAGTTTCTGAGAATGCTTCTGTCCAGTTTTTATGGGAAGATATTTCCTTTTTCACCTTAGCCCTGAAAGCGCTCCAAAAGTCCAGTTCCAGATACTACAAAAGGAGTGTTTCAGGACTGCTCTATGAAAGGGAGTGTTCAACTTTTGACTTGAATGCAAACATCAGAAAGCAGTTTCTCAGAACGCTGCTGTCGTGCTTTTTATATGTAATTCCCGCTCTGTCCAGACGAAATCCCTCAAATCTATGCAAATATCCTCTTGCAGATTCCAGAAAAAGAGTGTTTCAAAACTGCTCCTTCAAAACGGTGGTTCAATTCTCTTAGCTGAGTACACACATCTCAAATAAGTTTCTGAGAATGCTTCTGCCTAGTTGTTACGGGAAGATATTTCCCTTTCCAACATAGGCCTGAAAGCGCTCCAAATGTCCACTTCCAGATACTACAAAAAGAGTGTTTCAAACCTGCTCCTTCAAAACGGTGGTTCAATTCTCTTAGTTCAGTACACACATCTCAAATAAGTTTCTGAGAATGCTTCTGCCTAGTTGTTACGGGAAGATATTTCCCTTTCCAACATAGGCCTGAAAGCGCTCCAAATGTCCACTTCCAGATACTACAAAAAGAGTGTTTCAAACCTGCTCTACCAAAGGGAATGTTCTACTCTGTGACTTGAATGCAAACATCCCGAAGAATTTTCTGAGAATGCTTCTGTCTAGATTTTACCTGAAGACAATCCCGTTTCCCACGAAATCCTCAAAGCTATGCAAATATCCTCTTGCAGATTCTACAAAAAGAGTGTTTCGAAACTGCTCTATGAAAAGAAAGGTTCAACTCTGTCAGTAGAGGGCACACATCACAAACAAGTTTACTGAGAATGCTTGTGTCTACTTGTTATGGGAAGATATTTCCTTTTTCAACATAGGCCTGAAAGCGCTCCAAATGTCCACTTCCAGATACTACAAAAGGAGTGATTCCAACCTGCTCTATGATAGGGAATGTTCAACTCTGTGTCCTGAATACAAACATCACAAAGATGTTTCTCAGAACGCTGCAGTCTGCAATTTGTATGAATTCCCGCTTCCAACGAAATCCTCAAAACTAGCCAAATATCCACTTGCAGATTCCACAAAAAGAGCATTTCAAAACTGCTCTATCAAAAGAAAGGTTCAACTTTGTTAGTTGAGTAGATACAGCATAAACAAGTTTCTGAGAATGCTTCTGTCCAGTTTTTATGGGAAGATATTTCCTTTTTCACCTTAGCCCTGAAATCGCTCCAAAAGTCCAGTTCCAGATACTACAAAAGGGGTGTTTCAAGACTGCTCTATGAAAGGGAGTGTTCAACTTTTGACTTGAATGCAAACATCAGAAAGCAGTTTCTCAGAACGCTGCTGTGTGCTTTTTATATGTATTCCCGCTTCCAGCGAAATCCCCAAAGCTAGCCAAATATCCACTTGCAGATTCCAGAAAAAGAGAGTTTCAAAACTGCTCCTTCAAAACGGTGGTTCAATTCTCTTAGTTGAGTACACACATCTCAAATAAGTTTCTGAGAATGCTTCTGTCTAGTTGTTATGGGAAGATATTTCCTTTTCCAACATAGGCCTGAAAGCGCTCCAAATGTCCACTTCCAGATACTACAAAAGGAGTGATTCAAACCTGCTCTATGATAGGGAATGTTCAACTCTGTGTCCTGAATACAAACATCACAAAGATGTTTCTCAGAACGCTGCAGTCTGCAATTTGTATGAATTCCCGCTTCCAACGAAATCCTCAAAACTAGCCAAATATCCACTTGCAGATTCCACAAAAAGAGCGTTTCAAAACTTCTCTATGAAAAGAAAGGTTCTACTCCTTTAGTTGAGGACACACATCACGAGTAAGTTTCTGAGAATGCTTCTGTCTAGTTTTTATGGGAAGATATGTCCTTTTTCACCTTAGGCCGGAAAGCGCTCCAAATGTCCACTTACACACACTACAAAAAGAGTGTTTCAAACCTGCTCTGTGAAAGGGAATGTTCAATTCTGTGACTTGAATGCAATCATCACAAACAACTTTCTGAGAATGCTCCTGTCTGCTTTTTATATGTAATCCCGTTTCCAACGAAATCCTCAAATCTAGCCAAATATCCACTTGCAGATTCCACAAAAAGAGTGTTTCAAAACTCTTCTGTCTAAAGAAAAGTTCAACTGTGTTACTTGAGGACACACATCAGAAACTAGTTTCTGAGAATGCTTCTGTCTAGTTGTTATGGGAAGATATTTCCTTTTCCAACGTAGGCCTGAAAGCGCTCCAAATGTCCACTTCCATATACTAAAAAAAGAGTGTTTCAAACCTGCTCTTCCAAAGGGAATGTTCTACTCTCTGACTTGAATACAAACATCCCAAAGAAGTTTCTGAGAATGCTTCTGTCTAGATTTGATCTGAAGACAATCCCGTTTCCAACGAAATCCTCAAAGCTAGGCAAATATCCTCTAGCAGATTCCAGAAAAAGAGTGTTTCAAAACTGCTCCTTCAAAACGGTGGTTCAATTCTCTTAGTTGAGTACACACATCTCAAATAAGTTTCAGAGAATGCTTCTGCCTAGTTGTTACGGGAAGATATTTCCCTTTCCAAAATAGGCCTGAAAGCGCTCCAAATGTCCACTTCCAGATACTGCAAAAGGAGTGATTCCAACCTGCTCTATGATAGGGAAAGTTCAACTCTGTGTCCTGAATACAAACATCACAAAGATGTTTCTCAGAACGCTGCAGTCTGCAATTTGCATGAATTCCAGCTTCCAACGAAATCCTCAAAACTAGCCAAATATCCACTTGCAGATTCCACAAAAAGAGCATTTCAAAACTGCTCTATCAAAAGAAAGGTTCAACTTTGTTAGTAGAGTAGATACAGCATAAACAAGTTTCTGAGAATGCTTCTGTCCAGTTTTTATGGGAAGATATTTCCTTTTTCACCTTAGCCCTGAAAGCGCTCCAAATGTCCAGTTCCAGATACTACAAAAGGGGTGTTTCAAGACTGCTCTATGAAAGGGAGTGTTCAACTTTTGACTTGAATGCAAACATCAGAAAGCAGTTTGCTCAGAACGCTGCTGTGTGCTTTTTATATGTATTCCCGCTTCCAGCGAAATCCCCAAAGCTAGCCAAATATCCACTTGCAGATTCCAGAAAAAGAGTGTTTCAAAACTGCTCCTTCAAAACGGTGGTTCAATTCTCTTAGTTGAGTACACACATCTCAAATAAGTTTCTGAGAATGCTTCTGTCTAGTTGTTATAGGAAGATATTTCCTTTTCCAACATAGGCCTGAAAGCGCTCCAAATGTCCACTTCCAGATACTACAAAAGGAGTGATTCCAACCTGCTCTATGATAGGGAATGTTCAACTCTGTGTCCTGAATACAAACATCACAAAGATGTTTCTCAGAACGCTGCAGTCTGCAATTTGTATGAATTCCCGCTTCCAACGAAATCCTCAAAACTAGCCAAATATCCACTTGCAGATTCCACAAAAAGAGCGTTTCAAAACTTCTCTATGAAAAGAAAGGTTCTACTCCTTTAGTTGAGGACACACATCACGAGTAAGTTTCTGAGAATGCTTCTGTCTAGTTTTTATGGGAAGATATTTCCTTTTTCACCTTAGGCCGGAAAGTGCTTCAAATGTCCACTTACACACACTACAAAAAGAGTGTTTCAAACCTGCTCTGTGAAAGGGAATGTTCAATTCTGTGACTTGAATGCAATCATCACAAAGAACTTTCTGAGAATGCTGCTGTCTGCTTTTTATATGTAATCCCGTTTCCAACGAAATCCTCAAATCTAGCCAAATAGCCACTTGCAGATTCCACAAAAAGAGTGTTTCAAAACTTCTCTATGAAAAGAAATGTTCTACTCCTTTAGTTGAGGACACACATCACGAGTAAGTTTCTGAGAATGCTTCTGTCTAGTTTTTATGGGAAGATATTTCCTTTTTCACCTTAGGCCGGAAAGTGCTCCAAATGTCCACTTACACACACTACAAAAAGAGTGTTTCAAACCTGCTCTGTGAAAGGGAATGTTCAATTCTGTGACTTGAATGCAATCATCACAAAGAACTTTCTGAGAATGCTGCTGACTGCTTTTTATATGTAATCCCGTTTCCAACGAAATCCTCAAATCTAGCCAAATAGCCACTTGCAGATTCCACAAAAAGAGTGTTTCAAAACTGTTCTGTCTAAAGAAATGTTCAACTGTGTTAGTTGAGGACACACATCAGAAACTAGTTTCTGAGAATGCTTCTGTCTAGTTGTTATGGGAAGATACTTCCTTTTCCAACGTAGGCCTGAAAGCGATCCAAATGTCCACTTCCATATACTACAAAAAGAGTGTTTCAAACCTGCTCTACCAAAGGGAATGTTCTACTCTGTGACTTGAATGCAAACATCCCAAAGAAGTTTCTGAGAATGCTTCTGTCTAGATTTTCTCTGAAGACAATCCCGTTTCCAACGAAATCCTCAAGGCTAGGCAAATATACTCTTGCAGATTCCAGAAAAAGAGTGTTTCAAAACTGCTCCTTCAAAACGGTGGTTCAATTCTCTTAGTTGAGTACACACATCTCAAATAAGTTTCTGAGAATGCTTCTGCCTAGTTGTTACGGGAGGATATTTCCCTTTCCAACATGGGCCTGAAAGCGCTCCAAATGTCCACTTCCAGATACTACAAAAAGAGTGTTTCAAACCTACTCTACCAAAGGGAATGTTCTACTCTGTGACTTGAATGCAAACATCCCAAAGAAGTTTCTGAGAATGCTTCTGTCTAGATTTTACCTGAAGACAATCCCGTTTCCCACGAAATCCTCAAAGCTATGCAAATATCCTCTTGCAGATTCTACAAAAAGAGTGTTTCAAAACTGCTCTATGAAAAGAAAGGTTCAACTCTGTCAGTAGAGGGCACACATCACAAACAAGTTTCTGAGAATGCTTCTGCATAGTTGTTATGGGAAGATATTTCCCTTTCCAAAATAGGCCTGAAAGCGCTCCAAATGTCCACTTCCAGATACTACAAAAGGAGTGATTCCAACCTGCTCTATGACAGGGAATGTTCAACTCTGTGTCCTGAATACAAACATCACAAAGATGTTTCTCAGAACGCTGCAGTCTGCAATTTGTATGAATTCCCGCTTCCAACGAAATCCTCAAAACTAGCCAAATATCCACTTGCAGATTCCACAAAAAGACCATTTCAAAACTGCTCTATCAAAAGAAAGGTTCAACTTTGTTAGTTGAGTAGATACAGCATAAACAAGTTTCTGAGAATGCTTCTGTCCAGTTTTTATGGGAAGATATTTCCTTTTTCACCTTAGCCCTGAAATCGCTCCAAAAGTCCAGTTCCAGATACTACAAAAGGGGTGTTTCAAGACTGCTCTATGAAAGGGAGTGTTCAACTTTTGACTTGAATGCAAACATCAGAAAGCAGTTTCTCAGAACGCTGCTGTGTGCTTTTTATATGTATTCCCGCTTCCAGCGAAATCCCCAAAGCTAGCCAAATATCCACTTGCAGATTCCAGAAAAAGAGTGTTTCAAAACTGCTCCTTCAAAACGGTGGTTCAATTCTCTTAGTTGAGTACACACATCTCAAATAAGTTTCTGAGAATGCTTCTGTCTAGTTGTTATGGGAAGATATTTCCTTTTCCAACATAGGCCTGAAAGCGCTCCAAATGTCCACTTCCAGATACTACAAAAGGAGTGATTCCAACCTGCTCTATGATAGGGAATGTTCAACTCTGTGTCCTGAATACAAACATCACAAAGATGTTTCTCAGAACGCTGCAGTCTGCAATTTGTATGAATTCCCGCTTCCAACGAAATCCTCCAAACTAGCCAAATATCCACTTGCAGATTCCACAAAAAGAGCGTTTCAAAACTTCTCTACGAAAGAAAGGTTCTACTCCTTTAGTTGAGGACACACATCACGAGTAAGTTTCTGAGAATGCTTCTGTCTAGTTTTTATGGGAAGATATTTCCTTTCTCACCTTAGGCCGGAAAGTGCTCCAAATGTCCACTTACACACACTACAAAAAGAGTGTTTCAAACCTGCTCTGTGAAAGGGAATGTTCAATTCTGTGACTTGAATGCAATCATCACAAAGAACTTTCTGAGAATGCTGCTGTCTGCTTTTTATATGTAATCCCGTTTCCAACGAAATCCTCAAATCTAGCCAAATAGCCACTTGCAGATTCCACAAAAAGAGTGTTTCAAAACTGTTCTGTCTAAAGAAATGTTCAACTGTGTTAGTTGAGGACACACATCAGAAACTAGTTTCTGAGAATGCTTCTGTCTAGTTGTTATGGGAAGATATTTCCTTTTCCAACGTAGGCCTGAAAGCGCTCCAAATGTACACTTCCATATACTAAAAAAAGAGTGTTTCAAACCTGCTCTACCAAAGGGAATGTTCTACTCTGTGACTTGAATGCAAACATCCCAAAGAAGTTTCTGAGAATGCTTCTGTCTAGATTTGATCTGAAGACAATCCCGTTTCCAACGAAATCCTCAAGGCTAGGCAAATATCCTCTTGCAGATTCCAGAAAAAGAGTGTTTCAAAACTGCTCCTTCAAAACGGTGATTCAATTCTCTTAGTTGAGTACACACATCTCAAATAAGTTTCTGAGAATGCTTCTGCCTAGTTGTTACGGGAAGATATTTCCCTTTCCAACATAGGCCTGAAAGCGCTCCAAATGTCCACTTCCAGATACTACAAAAAGAGTGTTTCAAACCTGCTCTACCAAAGGGAATGTTCTACTCTGTGACTTGAATGCAAATATCCCAAAGAAGTTTCTGAGAATGCTTCTGTCTAGATTTTACCTGAAGACAGTCCCTTTTCCCACGAAATCCTCAAAGCTATGCAAATATCCTCTTGCAGATTCTACAAAAAGAGTGTTTCAAAACTGCTCTATGAAAAGAAAGGTTCAACTCTGTCAGTAGAGGGCACACATCACAAACAAGTTTCTGAGAATGCTTCTGCATAGTTGTTACGGGAAGATATTTCCCTTTCCAAAATAGGCCTGAAAGCGCTCCAAATGTCCACTTCCAGATACTACAAAAGGAGTGATTCCAACCTGCTCTATGATAGGGAATGTTCAACTCTCTGTCCTGAATACAAACATCACAAAGATGTTTCTCAGAACGCTGCAGTCTGCAATTTGTATGAATTCCCGCTTCCAACGAAATCCTCAAAACTAGCCAAATATCCACTTGCAGATTCCACAAAAAGACCATTTCAAAACTGCTCTATCAAAAGAAAGGTTCAACTTTGTTAGTTGAGTAGATACAGCATAACCAAGTTTCTGAGAATGCTTCTGTCCAGTTTTTATGGGAAGATATTTCCTTTTTCACCTTAGCCCTGAAAGCGCCCCAAATGTCCAGTTCCAGATACTACAAAAGGGGTGTTTCAAGACTGCTCTATGAAAGGGAGTGTTCAACTTTTGATTTGAATGCAAACATCAGAAAGCAGTTTCTCAGAACGCTGCTGTGTGTTTTTTATATGTATTCCCGCTTCCAGCGAAATCCCCAAAGCTAGCCAAATATCCACTTGCAGATTCCAGAAAAAGAGCGTTTCAAAACTGCTCCTTGAAAACGGTGGTTCAATTCTCTTAGTTGAGTACACCCATCTCAAATAAGTTTCTGAGAATGCTTCTGTCTAGTTGTTATGGGAAGATATTTCCTTTTCCAACATAGGCCTGAAAGCGCTCCAAATGTCCACTTCCAGATACTACAAAAGGAGTGATTCCAACCTGCTCTATGATAGGGAATGTTCAACTCTGTGTCCTGAATACAAACATCACAAAGATGTTTCTCAGAACGCTGCAGTCTGCAATTTGTATGAATTCCCGCTTCCAACGAAATCCTCAAAACTAGCCAAATATCCACTTGCAGATTCCACAAAAAGAGCGTTTCAAAACTTCTCTATGAAAAGAAAGGTTCTACTCCTTTAGTTGAGGACACACATCACGAGTAAGTTTCTGAGAATGCTTCTGTCTAGTTTTTATGGGAAGATATTTCCTTTTTCACCTTAGGCCGGAAAGTGCTCCAAATGTCCACTTACACACACTACAAAAAGAGTGTTTCAAACCTGCTCTGTGAAAGGGAATGTTCAATTCTGTGACTTGAATGCAATCATCCCAAAGAACTTTCTGAGAATGCTGCTGTCTGCTTTTTATATGTAATCCCGTTTCCAACGAAATCCTCAAATCTAGCCAAATAGCCACTTGCAGATTCCACAAAAAGAGTGTTTCAAAACTGTTCTGTCTAAAGAAATGTTCAACTGTGTTAGTTGAGGACACACATCAGAAACTAGTTTCTGAGAATGCTTCTGTCTAGTTGTTATGGGAAGATATTTCCTTTTCCAACGTAGGCCTGAAAGCGCTCCAAATGTCCACTTCCATATACTAAAAAAAGAGTGTTTCAAACCTGCTCTACCAAAGGGAATGTTCTACTCTGTGACATGAATGCAAACATCCCAAAGAAGTTTCTGAGAATGCTTCTGTCTAGATTTGATCTGAAGACAATCCCGTTTCCAACGAAATCCTCAAGGCTAGGCAAATATCCTCTTGCAGATTCCAGAAAAAGAGTGTTTCAAAACTGCTCCTTCAAAACGGTGGTTCAATTCTCTTAGTTGAGTACACACATCTCAAATAAGTTTCTGAGAATGCTTCTGCCTAGTTGTTACGGGAAGATATTTCCCTTTCCAACATAGGCCTGAAAGCGCTCCAAATGTCCACTTCCAGATACTACAAAAAGAGTGTTTCAAACCTGCTCTACCAAAGGGAATGTTCTACTCTGTGACTTGAATGCAAACATCCCAAAGAAGTTTCGGAGAATGCTTCTGTCTAGATTTGATCTGAAGACAATCCCGTTTCCAACGAAATCCTCAAGGCTAGGCAAATATCCTCTTGCAGATTCCAGAAAAAGAGTGTTTCAAAACTGCTCCTTCAAAACGGTGGTTCAATTCTCTTAGTTGAGTACACACATCTCAAATAAGTTTCTGAGAATGCTTCTGCCTAGTTGTTACGGGAAGATATTTCCCTTTCCAACATAGGCCTGAAAGTGCTCCAAATGTCCACTTCCAGATACTACAAAAAGAGTGTTTCAAACCTGCTCTACCAAAGGGAATGTTCTGCTCTGTGACTTGAATGCAAACATCCCAAAGAAGTTTCTGAGAATGTTTCTGTCTAGATTTTACCTGAAGACAATCCCGTTTCCCACGAAATCCTCAAAGCTATGCAAATATCCTCTTGCAGATTCTACAAAAAGAGTGTTTCAAAACTGCTCTATGAAAAGAAAGGTTCAACTCTGTCAGTAGAGGGCACACATCACAAACAAGTTTCTGAGAATGCTTGTGTCTAGTTGTTATGGGAAGATATTTCCTTTTTCAACATAGGCCTGAAAGCGCTCCAAATGTCCACTTCCAGATACTACAAAAGGAGTGATTCAAACCTGCTCTATGATAGGGAATGTTCAACTCTCTGTCCTGAATACAAACATCACAAAGATGTTTCTCAGAACGCTGCAGTCTGCAATTTGTATGAATTCCCGCTTCCAACGAAATCCTCAAAACTAGCCAAATATCCACTTGCAGATTCCACAAAAAGAGCGTTTCAAAACTTCTCTATGAAAAGAAAGGTTCTACTCCTTTAGTTGAGGACACACATCACGAGTAAGTTTCTGAGAATGCTTCTGTCTAGTTTTTATGGGAAGATATTTCCTTGTTCACCTTAGGCCGGAAAGCGCTCCAAATGTCCACTTACACACACTACAAAAAGAGTGTTTCAAACCTGCTACTGTGAAAGGGAATGTTCAATTCTGTGACTTGAATGCAATCATCACAAAGAAGTTTCTGAGAATGCTGCTGTCTGCTTTTTATACGTAATCCCGTTTCCAACGAAATCCTCAAATCTAGCCAAATATCCACTTGCAGATTCCACAAAATGAGTGTTTCAAAACTGTTCTGTCTAAAGAAATGTTCAACTGTGTTAGTTGAGGACACACATCAGAAACTAGTTTCTGAGAATGCTTCTGTCTAGTTGTTATGGGAAGATATTTCCTTTTCCAACGTAGGCCTGAAAGCGCTCCAAATGTCCACTTCCATATACTAAAAAAAGAGTGTTTCAAACCTGCTCTACCAAAGGGAATGTTCTACTCTGTGACTTGAATGCAAACATCCCAAAGAAGTTTCTGAGAATGCTTCTGTCTAGATTTGATCTAAAGACAATCCCGTTTCCAACGAAATCCTCAAGGCTAGGCAAATATACTCTTGCAGATTCCAGAAAAAGAGTGTTTCAAAACTGCTCCTTCAAAACGGTGGTTCAATTCTCTTAGTTGAGTACACACATCTCAAATAAGTTTCTGAGAATGCTTCTGCCTAGTTGTTACGGGAAGATATTTCCCTTTCCAACATAGGCCTGAAAGCGCTCCAAATGTCCACTTCCAGATACTACAAAAAGAGTGTTTCAAACCTGCTCTACCAAAGGGAATGTTCTACTCTGTGACTTGAATGCAAACATCCCAAAGAAGTTTCTGAGAATGCTTCTGTCTAGATTTTACCTGAAGACAATCCCGTTTCCCACGAAATCCACAAAGCTATGCAAATATCCTCTTGCAGATTCTACAAAAAGAGTGTTTCAAAACTGCTCTATGAAAAGAAAGGTTCAACTCTGTCAGTAGAGGGCACACATCACAAACAAGTTTCTGAGAATGCTTCTGCATAGTTGTTACGGGAAGATATTTCCCTTTCCAAAATAGGCCTGAAAGCGCTCCAAATGTCCACTTCCAGATACTACAAAAGGAGTGATTCCAACCTGCTCTATGATAGGGAATGTTCAACTCTGTGTCCTGAATACAAACATCACAAAGATGTTTCTCAGAACGCTGCAGTCTGCAATTTGTATGAATTCCCGCTTCCAACGAAATCCTCAAAACTAGCCAAATATCCACTTGCAGATTCCACAAAAAGAGCATTTCAAAACTGCTCTATCAAAAGAAAGGTTCAACTTTGTTAGTTGAGTAGATACAGCATAAACAAGTTTCTGAGAATGCTTCTGTCCAGTTTTTATGGGAAGATATTTCCTTTTTCACCTTAGCCCTGAAAGCGCTCCAAAAGTCCAGTTCCAGATACTACAAAAGGAGTGTTTCAGGACTGCTCTATGAAAGGGAGTGTTCAACTTTTGACTTGAATGCAAACATCAGAAAGCAGTTTCTCAGAACGCTGCTGTGTGCTTTTTATATGTATTCCCGCCTCCAGCGAAATCCCCAAAGCTAGCCAAATATC